>NC_000004.12:92557744-92860774 GCF_000001405.40 Homo sapiens
ACATCCTCTAGTCCTAGGTTTGTACTGTGTATCTAACTAAACTGAAACACAAAGGCATCAGGTGAAAGGCTGAAGGCTACACCTAAGTAGCTGAAGTAAATCCACTTTAAGTACACGCATGCTTACTACACTTTAAAAAACTTTTATGCCTTGACATTATTGAAATATTCTGCAGATACTTTGCATAGAATCACAGGGCCAGAATAATTTTTAGTTTTATTTACTTGGTCTAGATTTTGTCATCACAAATCTGAGAATGGAGCTAAAAATCACAGCCTGTAGGATTCCTCCATTCTATTTTTGGAGCCAATGAAGTTTCTTACATTTGGCCAGCCCTCTCTCAAATGCTTGCAATTGGGTAACATTGTTCCTGTGAGGGAAGGTCGAATATCACAGAGGTTATCTTATAAAACCTCATCATTTTTACAATGCCAAGATATATAGACACTTAGATGGGGAGTTTGGAAGAGTAAAATAAAGGTCAATTAGAAAACTATGCACATGTTCATGTAAGAGATGATGGTGACATTGACTGAGGTTATAATCATGGGGATGAAAAGGCTATTTTTTGAAAATGTCATTCTCCTAATCAAAAAACTTCAGTACTATCCCATTCACATTTTTTAAAGGCCAAACTTCTAAATTGAACTTTTATAAACGTTGTTGAGCATTTGCAGTATTTTTCTTTCATAGAAAAAGAAGCACTATTTTTCTTACAGTAAATGCAAGAAGCTTTTAATCTACTTGAAATTCACTCCACCTGAAATTCACTCTACCGTCCATTCTTTAAAAATATAATCCTTTCTTCAAGTCCCTGCTCAAATCCCTCCTGCTCCAACAAGACATCCCTGGTGAGCCTAGCTGCTTTTATTCCTCCTACCTCTAATCTCTTTAATATTTCTTTGTTTTGTTGTGCTTTTATCAAAGGCACCAACAGATGCTGCCTTTTATGACAGTTAGGGTTATCTATCTGTGAACCACTAGATCATGCTTCGCAAGGCATTGTATTCCCTGTGTCCAGCACTGAGCTTTGCACCAAGGGCACATTTCATAAGTATTTTTTGTAAGATAAATGGAAATAATGAATTCATTACTAGAGCTGATGGTGCCCTCAGAGCAACTGATCTCAGATATATTTGTGGCTGAGGTCAACAAAAGACGAGACAATTACTGGTTTTATATCTCTTAAAAGCTGAGTCAAACCTTTAATAAATTTACTGTGACTGGAAACCTATTCCATATTTATTTCACTATTAACTGTTCTCCAGTTTTCAGCATAATTTATATGCACCTTACTCTATGAAAACTTCTAAGAACAGTTTGCCTGTTCATTATTTATGCCAATGCCTATAACTTAAAAGTAAATTATTCCTATTTTGCTTAATTTAATTTTATTATATATAAGCCATTTGATAAATATACATAAACACTTTCATAGTTATGTAACATTTACTAATATAGATTTTAAAGCACATATAATTTGTATAGTTGCCATGCAAACATCAGACTATCAAATATTGATAAACTGGTTACTGATAGAAAATCCAGTCTCTACATTTAAGAAAGAGTTTTTTTCTTCTAATTACAGAAGGAGTATCCCTTCTCTGAAATGCTCGGGACAAGAAGTGTTTCACATTTTGGATTATTTCAGATTGTGGGATATTTGCGTTATACTTAGGTTCAGTATTCCTAATCCAACATGCCTCAATGAGTACTTCCTTTGAGCATGATGTTGGTGCTCAGAAAGTTTCAGATTTTGGAACATTTTGGATTTTGGAGTTCTGGATTCGACATGCTCAACCTGTATTATTTTCTTATCAACTTCACCACTTTATTGTCTTCCACAGTCAAAGCAAGGTATGAGTCAAAGATATCAAACTTAGAGGGAAGAAAATCCCATTGAGGCTACTGTCTATGCATAAACAAAGGAAATTCAAATATCACCACATAAGTTATTACAAATTTACATATTAAAACATGGATCAACTCCCCTTTTCTAAATTGGCAACTATAATTCCACTCAAGTGACAGGTTTGTATACAAATAAGAGGATAAGCTGTTAGCAGTTACTGAACACTGAGACCAAATCATAACTCAGGATTGCAAAGTGCTCATGAATGTGGAGAGATATAGTCATTGCCTAATAATTAATTTTAATTTTTTACCAAAATTAGACTTCTTATAATTTCATTAAAAGTCACAAAAGAATCAAATCAGTATAATTTTTAATTTACTCTGAAAGGCATTTTCTTTACATTTTCCTAACATCTGTATTATTAGAATATCTTTGGCCTTATATCATTACTAAATAATGAGATAGTTGAAGGAAATGACATTTTAGGAGTTCTAAATGAGGGACATATCTCCTCCATATTCCATAATCCAAAATGGTGCCTTCTTGAGGAAGGATAAATGTGGAGAAGAAAGGAGAGGGGAGCCTGCTTAATGAGATGCAGCTGGATTCATAGTGTGGCCTGATAGTAAGTCCCAAATCAAATTCTTACTCACATGCTTTTGAGATAGCCTCCCATTAGAACCCCTTTCCTCTTTTCCCACCCCACATACTTAGCATGGCAGAGGGTAGGCAGATGCCAGGTGTATTTTATTATGAGGTCAATGAGTAACAATTCTGTTCCTCTCTCTTTTGAAGCCTGTTATAATACGGCTACAATGTTATAAAGCAATCATATTTTATTCTTTTCCCCAGCCCACATCATGAATGTTAAGCAAAAGGGGAGACTGAATATTACATTGAGGATGAACTGCAAAATACTAAAGTCCCTTATGATAGTGTTTAATCCTTTATTGATCAATGTTTCACAAAGGTGCATTGGTCATTACCACTGCTGTACCTTTGGTTAGATCCATTTATCTGCCTGGAACATCCTCTCATTTCTCATTTATCTCACTTATATCCTACTGATATTTCCAGACCTTGTTGAAGCCCACCTTCTACATGGAACTAATTTTTTTTTTCTTGAGACAGAGTGCCACTCTTGACGCCCAGACTGGAGTGCAATGGCAGGATCTCAGCTCACTGCAACCTCCACCTCCCGGGTACAAGTGATTCTGCTGCCCCAGTCTCCCAAGTGGCTGGGATTACAGGTGCCCGCCACCATGCCCAGCTAATTTTTTGTATTTTTTGTAGAGACAGGGTTTCACCATGTTGGTCAGGCTGGTCTTGAACTCCTGACCTCAGGTGATCCACCCGCCTCAGCCTCCCAAAATGCTGGGATTACAGGTGTGAGCCAAGGCACCCGGCCGCTTTCTAATTTTTTAATCTACTTTAGGTGAATCACACCCTCCTTTGATATCTTCCTGAATATTTCCTATACCTTGTGATAGAGACAGCAGAGTATAGCACAGTCTTTCCCAAAATATCTTTCTAATATCCTTATTTGAAAGGAAATGTTGAAGACTTAAAAAGCATATTGATGTGTGGAAGTCTTTGAAAAGTCCTTGAGTAAATGAAGAAGTTTGTTCAACTTTTTAAAACTGAACA
Source organism: Homo sapiens (assembly GCF_000001405.40). Lineage (NCBI taxonomy): Eukaryota > Metazoa > Chordata > Mammalia > Primates > Hominidae > Homo > Homo sapiens. The sequence goes on from NC_000004.12 coordinate 92,561,247, forward strand.
TTTCTTAAACTTCTACAACAATTGCATCTTTATTTCATGTAATAACCTTCTTGCAAAATACACTGGAGAAATAGAAATATATACAGGTTTGGGGCCAGACAGACTTGAGTTTATACCTTACTTCCATGGCTTAATAAACCATCTCATTACATTTACTTAAATCACTTTAAGCTTCTGTTTTTGCATTAGGCATAAAGAAATGTTTCATACCAGTAGGTATTCCAAAATATGCTTCTTTTATATTGTTTCTCCACAGGCCCTGAAATTCAATTGTTTTATGCAGTTTAGTGTGTTTTCTTCTACAGAGCAGGATATATGTTGTGTGCATCTTTTAAATATTAATTACAATCTTGCACATGATAGGTGTGGGATAGATTATTTCTGCCTGAGTAAAGCTTTATAGTGTGGCTACATTGTTTAGCATTTCTGATGTAGAAGATATACAACTTTTAGATTCATTAACAAAAATTTTTTACATTAGTTCTAATTTTGAATGCCCGATGTCATTATTCTCTTACATCAACCATATATTTGAGAGTTGGTGGATTGTTGGGTTGTCTATCTAATTTCATGAGTATATTCAATCTCAGTTATTCCTCATGCTGAAACTGTCTTATCATTATTGTTACTGCTAATGCATGTCAGAAGATCACGTGATTCTGGTGGTGCTGTGACTATGAAAATTTCATAATTCAAGATATTTATAAAATCACATTATGGGAGGATTCCTTAAATAGTGGACTCTCTTTAATAGGCAAACTCACACCTACAAATAAATAACTTTGTTTTAGCCAGATATGTAGTCTTTATCTCTGAGAAAGTTTGGATTGTGGTTTTGAAAGATGATTACTTTTGGTTTTGAATTCATTTCTTACAATTAGTCTAATGATCCATTCTTTCCTGGAGGGCTTAATTTGTGAGTTCTGTCCTCTGTAACAACATGAAATCTCCTTGAAAAGAACAAGTTCAGTTTATTTAGACTGAGGCCATTGCAATAAAGAACAAAGTTCAGTTTGTGCTGTTCTCTAAGTGCCATAGATAAAATTATTCTGATTTTCCCCAAGGTTAATGGGCACAGGGTGACATTTAAATGATATTGTAATAATCTAATAATTTCCAGTGCTAATTAGTACAATCCCAAACCATGAGTGAACATAATTAAAAATGTTTTCTCTTTTTGAGGGTAAGTACCATAACTTCACAACTAATCTAATGGTAGGTGCTTCATTACAGTTTATGCAAACATTGAATTTTACTATAAATATTTGGATAAATTATATTCCAAGTAGTACTAACAGTCAATTCTCATTTTTTCTGCATTGCCTGCTTTATGTAGAGCCCCCACACACAGATCAGTGAGGAGCTGCTATGTCTCCTGTGCCCGGTAGGCCCGACCTAGAAACATGAAGGAACATAGATGGGCAATGAGTATCATGAGAAGAACCTGGGCTTTGGAGTCCAAACTGGATTTGAATCTTGGCTCTCCAAACCACATTTTATTTATCTATGATGCCTGCCTCACAAAATTTTAGTAAAAATTCAATTTATCTTTACTAAGGCTATATTAAAATATGTAATCGTTTTACATACATCATGTATATGTAAAATGCCTGGCAGAGTGCCCTGATGCTAAGAGCTCTCATATACATAGTTCCCTTTTACTATGAAATTTTACTACGGAATCACTTTACAGTCTTATATTTATCAATAATAAGTAATGTAGGTATTCTATTTATAGTTCTAAATTACCCAGGCCTACTCTTTTTCTCTTGGAGTCAGCTGCATATTTGATAGAATCTTCTTCCCATGACTTTGAGACTGCCTCATGAGTGGCAGTGGCCTTTGTGGAGTAACTATTATCAGAGTGATTTGGGGAAGGATTAAATTGTCATCCCTCCACCATGCTCCCCGTTTCTAGTTTAATGGTTTAAAAAATGGTTTTATGGTTGTTAGGATTATGTGCTAATAATATTAGTTAAGCTTTTAGAAAGTTTGGAAAGTGAGAAGCTGCTAAGGAATGGAATGAGTTCTCTATGTCCTCAACTAGAAGCTCTTTTCCCCTCCACTACTTGTTTGTGGTATCCTTCAAGAGCTAGTAGGCTTATTAACTTTTCTGCCTCAGTAATGTGTGCATAATATATAAACTAAAGAAGTGCTGAGCTGGAAAATTGATTTTATGCTTATAGTGGTTTAAAATTTCTACCAAGCCTAATAATATTACTATTTTTTTCTCTAAGAGCTACTATTTTCCGTTGCAAAAATAGCAGGAGAGGATTATGTATAGTTCTAATTTTACCACACTCCTCCTGAATACAATTCTTCCAGAAACACTTAATGCTTTTTTCTTTTTTATTCTTTAATGACTGCCTAGTATATTGTCTCAGTATTATAAGTCTCTTTCCTTACCAGATTTTCAGCATATGACTAATGAGGGAAGCCAGTCAACTCAGATCATTTTTTATTTCTGAGATTTATGTAAAGTTAATGACATCTTAAATATAATTGTGTCAAATTAGTCAGATATTTTTCTGTATCTTCCTTCTAGTTCCAACCTACTCAGTTACCTTTACTTCTCTCTACACCTTCTCATGGACCCTAGTGTTCAGCTAAATGAAATACCTATCAGTGCGCACTCCATACATTATCTACTTCCATGACTTTTCTTACGCTGTTCCTTTCTCAATTTGTCCTTTCTTTACTCTTTAATGTCTTACTTCTACCTATTCTTCAAGGTTCTACTTAAACTATATTCTTCTACATAACATTCTTTCATCTATCCATGATTTCTGAATCTCTTTTAATCTTTATATATTTAATCCAAATACATGGATTATGTCACATTTTATTACATATTTGGAAACTCATGGGTCTGTCTTACCCTTAGTCCTAGTCTATACACCAAATGAAATAAGAAATTATGTCTGTGGTATTTAATACTTAGGTTTCATCCATATGGGGAAAAATAAACTCTAAGAATCAGACAAAAATTATTTTAAATAAGGCTAACTTATTTAGACCATAGTCATACCCATATGAAATTAATGTGATTTAATTAATTACTAGTATGCACAGAAAAATATGAGGTATGAAAGCTGATTTTAAAAAAATCATTGTTGCCCCTGAGGGATAAAATTTTAATGGAGAAGAAAGACATATAAGCATTACATTAGTACAAATCAAGGTTGATAGACACTTAAACAAGTGCCAATAGAGCACCTGATAATATCGAGAGGAGAGGTCATTTCATCTTAAAATTCATGATAATATAAAGCATTCCTTTTTAAATGAAATTGAAGAAGGCCATCTCTTTAGAGAGTAGAAGGGTTTCTATCCCTTATCAGTACTGAGAACAATACAGTTTTGAAAATAAAGAAATATAAATTTAACATCTAAAAGAATCTCAAGTGCTCTCTTCGGCAGTACATACACTAAAAGAATCTTAAACATTCCTAAGGCAAATGTTTCAGTTAAAGGGGGTTAACCAATACACTTAAAATGCAAACATTACTTTGTGAAACATGTTGAAATTAAAAATAATAAAGCCAAACTATTTGGAATGTCATATATTTATAAAATATATATTTTCGTGCTACAAGGCCAAATATATTTTTTTCTTTCCAGTCCTAAAATATGCCCTGTATCGTCAGTGTAGTTTGTAGGTCTGTTCATCAAAAGAGTGGGAAGTATATCATGCCAGAATGCATTTGCTGTTCCCCTATCAAGTGATCACCATTGTTATTGGCTTTAGAATTATTAGCTTCTGTACCTGGATCTGACCTTAATTTTAACCACAAATGTGGGAATGGTTTTGACAAGGCATACAGTTTTGGCAAGTCACCTCACTTGGGTACTAATTACTTCTGGGTACCCAGTTACTCCTGGGTCCTAATTTTATCTTTAAATGCTTGTTATGTTACTTATTACTTTCATATGAGAATTTTGATAATATGTTGTATTAAAAAATTATTAGTTTTATAGTGATCAATCAATGAGGAAATTCTCTGAAAGTGATGTTTCTTTACAAGAAAAGCACCCAGGCTGGAAACAATATAAACATTGTAAAAATATGTGAATCAACACTGTCAATTCATATTATTTTTCTTAGTATAGTTTTAGTTTACTGAATTCATATGCTTGCTAAGAGCTAGAAGCTTTATATATATTCCCACTTTATATGACAGTATAAGAAGATCAAACTATTATATCCCACAGGGGAAATATTTTAAATCTTTCACAATTGCTGGTTTTCCCCTTAACACAATTTCTTGATTATAACATTTAAGCTATTATACTGCTATCTATCTATCTATCTACTAAATTTTATCTATCTATTTATCTATCCATTTCTATAGCTAGACTATAATCTCTTCAAGACTGGTATCTGACTTCAGTTTCTACTACTAGTTCCTAACGCAGCGGTACAGTTCCTGGCATATGTACATACTCCTATAGTGTGTGCTAAAGAAAGGAAAGAAATTAACAAGTCTTTTTCTCCCATGTTGTATAAGCCCAGTACTAGTTGCTCTCAGACACTAGTGAATAATTTATTACTGTTCATAGTTTAAAGAATGCTGATAATTGAGTGTATTGGTTTGTTATTGCTGTGTAACAAATTACCACAAACTTAGCAATTTAAAACAGCACATATTTATTAATTCACAGTTTTGTATGTTAGAAGTCTGGCACTGTGTGGTTCTCTCCTCAGGGTATCACAAAGAAGAAATCAAGTATTACCTAGGTTGAGTTTACCTATACAATCCCTATGTGTAAGCTAGGAATATTTGGAAACAGTGGAGGTTCATGTGTTCTTCGCTGACCGTTTATGGTTTTGAAGGCCTAAGAGGTTTCAATAAACTATGTCGATATGCCTAGCAGCTGGCGCAAAATTTTTGGTGAAGTATTTACTTAATTTGGGGAGGTATGTGTGATGCATGTTAAGATAAAAGTAAAGCTGCTCAATGGAGAGCATCTCAAAATATGATTTTCATGCATAGAAAAAAGCTAAAAAATATTATTCAATTCAATATGGAAATATTTCTGTTTTTTTTTAAGATGGAAAATGATGCCCCAGAGTCATTATTCTGCATAGCACGTAACTATCTAATTGCATTTAGAGAAATAAAATAAAGTTTGCCAACAACGAAAAAGGGGGACCAGAAAATTTGTTGACAGCATATCCAATGAACACAGTTTCGGACAATAGGATGCATGTTAAGCCTGACTGGATCTATTCATTCTCCTGTCAACAGCTGGCATGCCTCCTTCACAATGGCAGAAAAGCTACAGGAAGTTTCTCTTTGGAAAACATGTTGAGAAATTTTCTTGTCTCTCTATGCTCCTTACTGTACACTGAGATATTTTTCTAGAGAATGAGTGAAGAAATTATGCTATTACTATAGAGTGATAACTAATTTACACTATGTAAAGGGATAGCACAGATATTGTTTTATTCACACTAAAAGCAAATAATTGGAAGAATTTCTATGTAACTATGAAAACTAGAAATAAATGGTGCTAAAATGTGCAAAAGATGATACATTTTCAGGCACATATTACAGAGTTTCACTCAAAGTATGACTAGTATGTGAAATGCTGGTACTCAGTTGTGGATGATTTTCACTGCAGTGGTTAGGTAGGAAAGCTTACTATTAAAAGTTTTTGAATCTTATATCCCCGTTTCTGAAGAGCTGCCCACTCTGGAGATTTGTTTCACTGTGATTAACATTGTACCTCTCATTTACTTACTTGTCAGAGGTTTTATTCAGTTAGTATCTTTTTCTAAATAGTTACACCTTAAAAGTTTAAAAATGATCAGATTTGTATTTGATTGTTCACTACTTCACTTGCAAAAACAAGTATTACAGAAAAGTAATATGTTAACATTAGTTTATGTATGAAATAACCTGCAATACCACCAAAACTTATCGGATCAGATAACCTCCAGTTGACATTAGCAAGCTTTCTAATGGTGTCATTTCTTCTTTTTTGAATTCCTTTATAATTCCCTCTGACATTTTTAACTTCAAAATTATATTCTTCTCAAATAATAGAATATGTTGTTTTCTACTACATATAAATGATTTAACTACACAGTGGTTTTTCTTATTTTTGAGTTAGATACCTGATAGGCTTACATTTGCCACTTCTATAGGAAAATGTGCTTGCTTAGATTCACGGCATATTTGAATATCTATAGCATTACTGAACTGTGATGATTTCTGCTGGTTCGTCATATCTTAATTCAAGAAGGATACTTGGGAATTTGTTAAATATTTGCGCTAATAAATCTAATTGCATTTAGAGAAATAAAGTTTCATCGGGAAAATAGGATGCTAGAGCTTGCAGCTTTTCAGGACACTCTTCAATTAGTGATTTATAAAAGCATCTACAAGGTGAAGTCAAAGGCAGATAAACCTCAGATATGATCTCTTGCCAACAATTTTGTCTCAAGAACTTGGTATACATACTTTAAGTATTCTTTAGAAGTCTTACTACACTATTAATTTTATGATTGTTGATATCTTTTAAAATATTCAATCATATAATCGTATTTTATCTATCTATTCAATGAATTTCTACTACTTACCTAATATGCGATGAACACATTTCTTTGCATTGGTAATTCAGAGTTAACACAGCAAACAAAACCCCTTGCCCTCATGGAAAGTGCATTTGAAAGAGAAGGAAATAATAAACAAGAGATATATAGTTAAGATATGTAATGCATCAGATGGCCATATAAACTATGAAGTAAAATAAAGCAGGGATGGCAGAAAGGGATTGAAGGCAGAGGCTGCAGTTTTAAACAGGGTCATCAAGGAGGGTCTCACTAAGAAGTTGAGCAAGACCTGAAGCAGTTGAGGAGAAGCTGTGTTTTTCTGTAAGAGAAGGAGCATTACAACTAGAAGGAATAACGAGATCAGGACTGCTGAGATGGGAATATACTTTTTGTATTGCAGGAGCAACAAAAAGACTTGGGTAACTGGATGTCAGTGAGGAAGAGGCGGAATACTAGGATCTGAGGTCTGAAATTTAACAAAGTGTCTGATTATAGAAGACTCAATAAGCCCTGGGAGGATTTTGACAGTTTCTACAGGTGTGTCGAGATGCCATTCAAGGCTGCCCTGACATACAAAGAAACTTTTACAACAATCTTTTGTCTCCCCATGGTTTCTCTCAAGTTTTTTGTTGGTTCCTCAGATATGTGCTACCTTTATTCTTCTGAAGTTTCTGAATATTTGATTTTGGTGGCGGGAATGAGGAACTCTACTAGTCTGTCATCTTGTCAGAACTTGAAGTGCAAAATTTCATTAAAAAATATGTATTTTTTCAGTTTTATTTCAAGTTCAGGGGTACATGTGCAGGTTTGTTATATAGGTAAACTTGTGTCATGAGGGTTTGTTCTACAGATTATTTCATTACCCAGGTATTAAGCCTAGTACCCATTAGTTACATTTTCTGATCCTCTCCCTCTTCCCACCTTCACCCTCCAGTAGGTCCCAGTGTCTGTTGTTCCCCTCCATGTGACCATGTGTTCTCATCATTTAGCTCCAACTTATAAGTGAGAATGTGCTATATTTGGTTTTCTGTTCCTGCATTAGTTTGCTAGAGTTAACAGCTTCCAGCTCCATCCATTTTCCTGCAAATAATATGATCTTGTTCTTTATTATGGCTGCATACTATTCCATGATGTATATGTACCACATTTTCTTTCTTTTTTTAAATTCCCAACTTTTAAGTTAAAGGGTACATGTGCAAGACATGCCGGCTTGTTAAATAGGCAAAAGTGTGCCATGGTGGTTTGGTGCACAGATCATCTTATCACCCAGGTGTTAAGCCAACATCCATTATTCTTCCTGATGCTCTCTCTCCTTCCACCCCACACCCTCCAACAGGCCCCAGTGTATCTTGCTACCTGACATGTGTCCATGTGTTCTTATCATTTCACTCCCACGTATAAGTGAGAAAAGGTGGCACTTGGTTCTCTGTTCCTGAATTAGTTTGCTAAGGATAATGGCCTCCAGCTCCATCCATGTCCATGCAAATAACATGATCTCATTCATTTTTATGGCTGCATAGTATTCTATGGTGTATATTTACCATATTTTCTTTATCCTGTCTAACATTGATGAATGTTTAGGTTGATTCCGTGTCTTTGTTATTGTGAATAGTGCTGTAATAAACATTCACGTGCATGTATCTTTATAATAAAATGATTTATATTCCTTCGGGTATATACCCAGTAGTGAGAGTGTTGGGTTAAATGGTATTTCTGTCTCTAGGTCTTTGAGGAATCACCACATTGTCTTCCACAAGGGTTGCACTAACTTATGTTCCTACCAACATTGTAAAAACAGTCCTTCATTTTCCACAACCTTGCCAGCATCTGTTGTTTATTGACTTTTTAATGTCTATTCTGAGTGGTGTGAGATGGTATCTCATTGTCATTTTGATTTGTATTTCTCTAATAATCAGTGGGGTTGATCTTTTTTCATGTTTTTTGGCTACATGTATGCCTTCTTTTGAGAAGTGTCTGTTCATGTCCAATGCCCACTTTTTAATGTTTTTTTTCCTTCTTGTGAGTTTAGGTTCCTTATAGATGCTGGATATTAGACCTTTGTCAAATGGGTAGATTGCAAAAACTTTCTCCCATTCTGTAGGTGGTATTTTTACTCTGTTGATACTTTCTTTTGCTGTGCAGAAGCGCTTTAGTTTAATTAGATCCCATCTGTCAATTTTTGCTTTTGTTGCATAACTTTTGATGTTTTTTCATGAAATCTTTGCCTATGCCTATGTCCTGAAGTGTATTGCCTAGGTTTTCTTCAAGGGTTTGTTTAGTTTACCACTTTACATTTAAACATTTAATCCATCTTGAGTTGATTTTCATATGTGGTGTAAGGAAGGGGTCCAGTTTCAGTCTTCTGCATATGGCTAGCTAGTTCTCAGAGCACCATTTATTGAACAGGGTATCTTTTCCTCATTCCTTGTTTTTCTCCTTTATCAAAGATCAGATGCTTATAGTTGTTTAGTCTTATTTTTGGGCTCTCTATGCTATTTCATTGGTCTATGTGTCTGTTTCTATACCAGTACCATGCTGTTTTGGTTACTGTAGCCCTGTGGTATAGTTTGAAGTGAGATAGCATGAAGCCTTTGGGTTTGTTCTTTTTGCTTAGGATTGTCTTGGTTATTTGGGCTCTTTTTGGCTCCATAAGAATTTTAGAATATCTTTTTCTAATTCTGTGAAGAATGCCAATGTGAGTTTAATGGGAATAATATTGAATCTATAAATTGCTTTGAGCAGTGTGGTCATTTTCATGATATTAATTCTTCCTATCCATGAGCATGAAATGTTTTTCCATTTGTTTGTGTCATTTCTGATTTATTTGACAGTGGTTTATAGTTTTTCTTGAAGAGAGCCTTCACTTCCCTTGTTATCTCCTAGGTATTTTATTCTTTTGGTGGCATTTGTGAATGGGAGATCATTTGTGATTTGGTGCTCAGCTTGTCTGTTGTTGGCATATAGGAATGCTACTGGTTTTTACATATTTATTTTTATCTTGAGACTTTGCTAAAATTGTGTATCAGTTTAAGCAGCTTTTCAACTGGATGACGGAGTTTTCTAGATACAGCATTATGTCATCTGCAAACAAGGATATTTTGACTCCCTGTCTTTGTATTTGAATGTCTTTCTTTCTTTCTTTTGCCTGATTGCCCTGGCTAGAACTTCCAATACTATGTTGAATAGGAGTTTTGACAGTGGACAAGCTTGTCTTGTGCCGGTTTTACAAGGGGAGTGCTTCCAGTTTTTGCCACTCAGTATGATATTGGCTGTGGGTATAGCATATATGGCTGTTATTATTTTGAGGTATGTTCCTTCAATACATGGTTTATTGAGAGTTTTTAATATGAAGGGATGTTGAATTTTATGGAAGGTCTTTTCTGAATCTATTGAGATAATCACATGGATTTTGTTTTTAGCTCTCTTTATGTGATGAATCACATGTATTGATTTGCCAACAAAGATCAAAAGAGACAAAGAAGGCCATTACATAATGGTAAAGGGATCAATTCAACAAGAAGAGCTAACTATCCTAAATATATATGCACCCAATACAGGAGCACCAAGATTCATAGAGCAAGTCTTTAGAGACCTACAAAGAGACTTAGACTCCCACACAATAATAATGCGAGACTTTAACACCCCACTGTCAACATTAGACAGATCAATGAGACAGAAAGTTAACAAGGATATCCAGGAATTGAACTCAGCTCTGCACCAAATGGACCTAATAGACATCTACAGAACTCTCCACCCCAAATCAACAGAATATACATTCTTCTCAGCACCACACCGCACTTATTCCAAAATTGACCACATAGTTGGAAGTAAAGCACTCCTCAGCAAATGTAAAAGAACAGAAATTATAACAAACTGTCTCTCAGACCACAGTGCAATCAAACTAGAACTCAGGATTAAGAAACTCACTCAAAACCACTCAACTACATGGAAACTGAACAACCTGCTCCTGAATGACTACTGGGTACATAACAAAATGAAGGCAGAAATAAAGATGTTCTTTGAAACCAATGAGAACAAAGACATAACATACCAGAATCTCTGGGACACATTCAAGGCAGTGTGTGGAAGGAAATTTATAGCACTAAATGCCTACAAGAGAAAGTAGAAAAGATCTAAAATTGACACCCTAACATCACAATTAAAAGAACTAGAGAAGCAAGAACAAACACATTCAAAAGCTAGCAGAAAGCAAGAAATAACTAAGATCAGAGCAGAACTGAAGGAAATAGAGACACAAAAAACCCTTCAAAAAATTAATGAATCCAGGAGCTGGTTTTTTGAAAAGATCAACAAATTGATAGACTGCTAGCAAGACTAATAAAGAAGAAAAAAGAGAAGAATCAAATAGATGCAATAAAAAATGATAAAGGGGATATCACCACCGATCCCACAGAAATACAAACTACCATCAGATAATACTATAAACACCTCTCTGCAAATAAACTAGAAAATCTACAAGAAATGGATAAATTCCTCGACACATACACCCTCCCAAGACTAAACCAGGAAGAAGTTGAATCTCTCTGAATAGACCAATAACAGGCTTTGAAATTGAGGCAATAATTAATAGCTTACCAATCAAAAAAAGTCCAGGACCAGAAGGATTCACAGCCGAATTCTACCTGAGGTACAAGGAGGAGCTGGTACCATTCCTTCTGAAATGATTCCAATCAATAGAAAAAGAGGGAATCCTCCCTAACTCATTTTAAGAGGCCAGCATCATCCTGATACCAAAGCCTGGCAGAGATACAACAAAAAAAGAGAATTTTAGACATTTATTGATTTGCATATGTTGAATCAGCCTTGCATCCTGGAGATTTGTGTATGTTGAACCATCCTTGCATCCTACTTGATCATGGCAGATAAACTTTTTGATGTGCTGTTGGATTCGGTTTAGCAGTGTTTTGTTGAGTATTTTCACATAGATGTTCACCAAGGATATTGGCCTGAAGTTTTCTTTTTTTCTTGTATCTGTCAGATTTTGGTATCAGAATGATGATGGCCTCATAGAATGAGTTAAGGAGGAGTCCTTCTTTTTCATTTTTTTTTGGAATAGTATCAGTAGGAATGGTACTGGCTTTTCTTTGTACCTCTGGTAGAATTCACCCATGAATCTATCTGGCCCTGGGCTTTTTTTGGTTATTAGGCTATTTATTACTGCCTCAGTTTCAGAACTCATTATTGCCCTGTTCAAGCATTCCGTTTCTTCCTGGTTCAGTCTTGGGAGAGTGTACGTTTCCAGGAATTTGTTCATTTCTTCTAGATTGTCCAGTTTATGTGCACAGACGTGTTTATAGTATCCTCTGATGGTTGTCTGTATTTCTTTGGGGTCAGTGGTGATATCTCCCTTATCATTTCTGATTGCATTTATTTGAATATTATTTCTTTTCTTCTTTATTATTCTAGTGAGGAGTCTATTTTATTTTTTTCAAAAAAACAGCTTCTGGATTTCAGTTTTCGAAGGGTTTTTCATGTCTCTATCTCCTTCAGTTCTGCTCTGATCTTGATTATTTCTTATCTTCTGCTAGCATTGGGGTTTGTTTGCTCTTGGTTCTCTAGTTCTTTTGTTGTGATGTTAGAGTGTCAATTTGAGATCTTTCTAGCTGTTTGATGTGGGCAGTTAGTGCTATAAATTTCCCTCTTGACACTGCTTTAGCTGCATCCCAGTTAATCTGGTATGTTGTTTCTCTGTTGTCATTAGTTACAAAGAACTTGTTTGTTTCTACCTTAATTTCATTATTTACCCAAAAGTCATTCAGGAGCAGGTTGTTCAATTTCCATGTAGTTGTATGGTTTTGAGTGAACTTCTGAATCTTGAGTTCTAATTTTATTGCACTGTGGTCTGAGGGACTGTTTGTTATTATTTCAATTATCTTGCATTTGCTGAGGTGTGTTTTACTTCCAATTATGTGATTGATTTTAGAGTAAGTGACATGTTCCACTGAGAAGAATGTACATTCCATTGCTTTGGGGTAGAGAGTTCTGTAGATATCTATCAGGTCAACTTGATCCAGAGCTGAGTTCATGTCCTGAGTATCTGTGAATTTACTGTCTCAATGATCTAGTATTTTCAGTGGGGTGTGAAAGGCTCACAGTATTACTTTGTAGAAGCCTAAGTCTCTTTAAAGGTCCCTAAGAACTTGCTTATGAGTCTGGGTGCTCCTGTATTGGGTGCATATATATTTAAGATAGTTAGCTGTTCTTGTTGAATTGAACCCTTTACCTTTAGGTAATCCCCTTCTTTGTCTTTTGTTCTTTGTTGGTTTAAAGTCTGTTTTGTCAGAAACTAGGATTGCAACCCCTGCTATTTTCCTGTTTTCCATTTCCTGGGTAAATTTTCCTCCAACGCCTATGTGTGTCTTTGTATGTGAGACGAGTCCCTTGAAGACAGCATACCAATGGGTTTTAGTTCTGTACCCAGCTTGCCATTCTTTGTCTTTTAAATGGGGGCATTTATCCCATTTATATTTAAGATTAGTATTTTTATGTGTGTATTTGATCCTGTCATCATGATGGTATTATAACTGGTTATTTTGTACACATGTTTATGTGATTGCTATATAGTGTTACTGGTCTGTACTTTAGTATTTTTTTTTTTTTTTTTTTGTGGCTGGTAATGGTTTTTGCTTTCCATATTTAGTGCTTCCTTCAGGAGCTCTTGTAACACAAGTCTGGTGGTGACAAATTCCCTACACATTTTCTTGTCTGAAAACGACCTCTTTCTCTTATGAAAGGATCTCCTCTCCTTTATTTTTGAAGCTGAGTTTGTCCAGATATGAAATTCTAGATTGGAAATTCTGTTCTTTAAAATGTTACATTTTGCCCTCCAATCTCTGGGTTTTAGGGTTTCTGCTGAGAGGTCCACTGTTAGTCTGATGGGCTTCCCTTTGTCGGTCACCTGCGTTTTCTCTCTAGCTGCTCTTAACACTTTTTCTTTCATTTTGACCTTGGAGAATCTGATGATTATGTGTCTTGGGGATGATCTTCTCATGGAGTATCTTATTGGGGTTTTCTACATTTCCTGAATTTGAATGTTGGCCTTTCTTGCTAGGTTGGGGAAGTTCTCCTGATAATATCTAGAAGTATGTTTGTTAAATTATTTCCATTATCTTTATCTCTTTCAGGTACCCCAATCAGTTATAGATTCTGTCTCTTTAGATAATCCCATATTTCCTGAAGGTTTTGTTCATTCCTTTTTCTCTATTCTTGTCTGACTCTCTTATTTCAGAAATATAGTCTTCAAGTTCAGAAAGTCTTGCCTCCTCTTGACCTATTCTGCTATTAATGCTTGTAATTGCAATGGGAAATTCTTGTAGTGTGTTTTTCAGCTTCATCAGGTTGGTTATGTTCCTCTACATTGTGGCTATTTTGCCTGTCAGCCCCTGTATTGTTTTACCATCATGCTTAGGTTATTTGCATTGGGTTACAACATGCTCCTTTAGCTCAGCAAAGTTTGTTTTTATCTGCATTTTGAAGTCTACTTCTGTCATTTCAGCCATGTCAGCCTCAGCCCAGTTCTGAGCCCTTGCTGGTGAGATGGTTCAGTCATTTAGAGGAAAAGGGACACTCTGGCTTTGTGAGTTTTCTGTGTTTTTGCAATGGTTCTTTCTCATATTTGTGGACTTATCTACCCATGATCTTTGATTTTGCTGACTTTTCGATGGGTTTTTTTGTGGTTTTTGTTGTTGTTTGTTTTTATGTTTATTTGTTTTAGCCTTGCTGCAGTTTGATGGGGGTCAGCTATAGACCCTAGTCACCTCATTTTTTCCCAAACCTGGAGGTATCAACAGTAAAGGCTGCAAAACAGCAAATATGGCAGCCTGTCCCTTCCTCTGGAAGCTCCATTCCAGGGGATACTGACTGGTTGCCAGCCTGAACCCTCCTGTAGGAGGTGGCTGGAGTCCTTGGGCAACTCTTCAGCTCCCAATCCTTTAGGGCTCTCGAAGGCCCACAGTCTGGACCAGCTGAGATATTTGAACAGCCAAGGTGGTGGCCACCCCCGTTGTTCTCCAGACACTCCCTCCCAGAGAGAAATTAGAACTGTTGGCTCTTGAACATGGACAGGGTGGCCAGAAGCCCTGGCTGGGAGGACCCTCCCATGAGAAGGAGTGGATCAGGGTCCCCCTTAAAGAAGCAGTCTGGATATGTCTTGACAAACAGCTCTGCCATGCTAAGGAACCGCCTCTGCCCATTGGCTTGGACTCTCCAAAGCCCACAGGCTGGAATGGCTGAGTTGTCTAAACAACCAAGGTGGCAATCTGCCTTTGCCCGAGGGCACTCTGTACCAGAGAGAAGTCAGCACTTTATCTATAGAATATGTGCAGGCAGGCATGGCTGGAGACCCCAGCTGGGAGGTCCCATCCACTGAGAAGGAATGGACCAGGGTCCTGCTTATGGAAGCACTCCAGCCATGTTCTGGCAAAGCAGCTGTGCTGCACTGTTGGAATCCTTCCTTGTCCGGACCATTTGGACTCTCCAAAACCCACAAGCTGGAATAGCTGATTGGACTAAACAGCAGATATGGTGGCCTGGTCCCTCCCCCAGAGGGCTCCATCTCCTCTCAGGCAGGCTCCACTCTGTTGCTGGTGGCTGCTCTGGATTCCAAACCAGTGGGTCTTATCCTGTGAGATGCTATGGAAGTTGGGCCTGAAGACTGGCACTGCTCGGCTCCCTGGATTCAGCCCCCTTCCTAGGGACATCTCCTAGGAAGGACCTTCTGCCTTGCTTGAGCTGCAGACAACCTTGCCAGGGTTCCTGGGGCTGGAGTATGTAAAGCTCCTGGATCTCTGCATGTGCCTGAGCATCTGGTCTCCTGAGACTTTGCCCAGCTTAGTGTGTCAGACACTGGTGGCATGGGCCCATGATGGGACCTCCTGATCCATGGTTTGCAAAGCTCTGTGGTAGAAGTGTGGTTTCCTGGGATCACACAATCACTCATCGCTTCCCTTAGCTGGTATTGGAGATCCCTTGGCTCTGTTGCTCCTGGGTGGGCCATTGCTCCTGGGTGTGCCGTTGCCCCACCCTGCTTTTTTTCATTCTGGGTCTGGGATCTGTTCTAGCCCCTCTTCTTTCTCTTTGGGCTATTTTTTAATATGATAACATCTTGTCTCAGATTTTTAATTTCCAAAGGTACCTTGATTACTTTCAAATATATGTCTGCAGTTCAGACATCTTTCTCTTAAGCTCCATTTTCTACATATTTAATTGCCAACATAAATTCTCCATTTTGATTTTAATAGGCTTCAGAAGCATAGCATATTCGAAAGGGAACCATTGATTTACCTCTTGTTACTTTGTCAGTTATCACTGTTTCTGTAAAATGGAATCTCCATCAACTCAGTGATCAGGGGACTGGAAGTTTCTTTGTGGCTGAAGAACAGATGTAATGGAATGAGTCTTGAAAAAAAGACTGTGTAGAGTGTTAGATAATAGATTTCAAGATTTCTCATATAGAGTATACAGGGGATGTCAGGGACCTGTCACTGGCTGTGGGTTTAGTGGAGGTATAAACATTAGGATTAAGAAAAATGAGATTGAGTTGTTACTAAGGTAAATAAGTCAACTGTTATCACCAAGGATGATGGTAGGACCGAGGACAGAGAGAAAGATGTTGAACCAGGTTTCAATTTACAAAATGAACTTAGTCATCTGGGCAGGAGGTAGTCAAGTGACAGTGATGAGAAGGATCAGAGGGTAGGACAGTTAAATGGCAAGGGATTCAGAAGAGATGATTTTACTCCATAATGGAAGAGTAACTGTTTGGCATTGTTTTTGAGGAGCTAAGCAATGTTAGCTGGTTGTAACAGGACTTGGTATGTGAAAAAATAAATCTCCAGTTGAAAGGACTACAGGAAGAGCAAGGTCCTCTAGAGAAAGCTAGAATTTAATAAAAGCTAGGATTCTTCTATAAAGGAGTTGAAAATATTAATGAAATGGAATTACCATGGAATTAGGTGGTCAGAGTGGAGAACAATTAGCATTGTGTAAAGGTATGGTGGGCTTTTGTCAAAGGAAAAACAATATAAAGAAAATGAGGAGCTGATGAATGGTTAGAGATATACATTTTGGGCGGTAAGCAAAGATGCCAGTGGTGAATCACGATGGGATTAGCTGGCCTCAAAGTCTCAGTGAGAATCTCACATAAATTAAATGGTGTTTTTTCCAAGGTTCAAGTGAAGATTTGGGATGACTTACTAAAATTTTCTGAAACTTAGTTTCTTCTTCTTCTTCTTCTTCTTCTTCTTCTTCTTCTTCTTCTTCTTCTTCTTCTTCTTCTTCTTCTTCTTCTTTTTCTTATTATTATTATTACACTTTAAGTTTTAGGGTACATGTGCACAACGTGCAGGTTAGTTACATATGTATACATGTGCCATGCTGGTGTGCTGCACCCATTGACTTATCATTTAGCATTAGGTATATCTCCTAATGCTATCCCTCCCCCCTCCCCCCACCCCACAACAGTCCCCAGAGTGTGATGTTCCCCTTCCCGTGTCCATGTGTTCTCATTGTTCAATTCCCACCTATGAGTGAGAACATGAAGTGTTTGGTTTTTTGTCCTTGCGATAGTTTACTGAGAATGATGATTTCCAATTTCATCCATGTCCCTACAAAGGACATGAACTCATCATTTTTATTTAAAATGGAATTATTAAAAGATAGAGCCTCTCAGGTCTGGCTGCCTAAAGCTTGAAAAGCTACCTCTTTAATAAAGCAAAAGATATATGGAAAACAACATAATTAAATAGAGAATAACATCTTCAGAAATTTATGGAAGCATGGCCTAGTGACTCACACCTGTCATCCCAGTCACTCTGGAGGCTGAGGCAGTTGCTTGAGTTCAGAAGTTCAAGACCAGTCTGGGCAAACTCATTTCAACAACAAAAATATCATTATCTATCTATCTATCAATCTATCTATCTATCTATCTATCTATCTATCTACATATTTGAATTCTTGTAATTACCATTTTGACATGCATCATATATATTTTGTTCAAACTCTTAATAATGTAGTACCAGATTACTTCATCATTAGATCACAATTTTCAAAACACTGAAATGCACATCGAGGTCACTGTAAATTTTCATCTATTTACCAAAAAACCAGAATTCACAGATACAAATGTTTGCCAATTTGCTTTATAGCTTATGTTAAAGGAAGGAAACTTGTTTCTTTTTTATTTAAACAACAATATTTTTTGAGTTTTAATCTGAAGTCTTAAGATATATATCATAGTAGAAGATCCCGAGAAATCTCCTTATGTTTCCCTTATGTACTTCAACTATGGTCTTCATACACCAGGAGGGCATAAGAATTTATCCAAACGTGACTTTTATTTTATTTTTTTTAACTTGAGCTCTGTGGTAAATTACTTAATATCAAGTTCCATAAGTAAACATTCTTGCTGGACATATTTTGACTTTTAGATAATTTTTCAATATGTGTTTAAAAGGCCACAGTGTATACTCTATCATCGCTTTTAACATGGCCCACAAATCATTTATAAATTATTCACTCTTTCCAGCTCTTTTTTGTTTCTTTTTCTTCAAAAGAGGATTACTACATTCCATGTCTTGGTGTCAAACTGTCTAAGAAAATAAATTAAGAACACAGTTTGAAGGCATTCACTGTTTTTCTCTTTCCCTAACACATTATTCCAAAAGCAGAATATTTTTTCTCAAGAATGGACTACATTTTTAACATAGATACAGTTTATATAGGATAAAAACTATAGGTCTTGGAACCCAGAGAGTTTTAGATTTAAGTCCTATATCATGTATGTTTTAGCATGTGATTAAGTAATTCATCTAACTTTTCTGATTCTTAGTCTCCTCAACTGTAAAATGAGGATTAAGAGAGATAACCTACAAAAATGATAAAGTTTAAAAACATTATTTCTTTTTTCTTAGTATGAATAAAACTTACAGTGGCAAGCATACACAACTTTGACCATTTTGTAAGGTTTATTTTCTAGCAAGTTATTATTAAAATACTATTTAGAAATTGATTTTTCTTAAGTAATTGATATACAAAATGTCAGAGACTGTGACTATGATACAGATCTTAAAAGATGAAACTGAGTCTATTATACTATATATGTATACATATGTATATAATATATATATTTTATATATGTGTATATATTTTATATATGTATATGTATTTTACATATATATTTTATATATAGTATAATGGACTCAGTTAATTTCATCATATCTACATATATACATATAAATATATATATAGTATAATTTGCTGTTATATATATTGCAGCTAATAAATACCTAGAAAATTTGCCGTCCTTCTGAGGGAAACTCATGTCTCCTTTACAGTTGTCTAGTCTACAGTTATAATAGAATTTCTGTTTTCTTAATGCTTTTGAAATATTTTACATGGCAATTCCCTGGAAATATCTGTATATTTTATAGGACATATTGGAAAAATAATCAGTGGATATCTGTAAAATCTTCATTGTTGCTAGTTAAATGTACATTCATGTAATAAAGAAGAAGAAAAAAATTACAAATGAGTTCAGAGTTAATAAATTATGAAGTTTGAGATTTATATTGGAAGAGTACCATTTTCCTACCTGAAATATTCTACAGGCTGCAATCTGTTACTTTAGAACTAAAACAGTAGTTTACAGAAGTTTTAAAATGCTCAATTACAAGAAACTTATTTATTTTGGCCCATTCAGATAGGTAAAATGATTTTTCATCTCAAAGTAGAGTAAATTTTTGTCTTAAACATAAAATTAGAATTTTTACTCTGTAGAAGACAGCCTACACTATATTATTTGTGTGCAAAATGAGTTTGACCCTTCTAAGAGGATCACATTCACATTATGGTTTCATACAGATATTTCTTTGGCATATGATTTTACTTATAGTAGTATAGGCCAATTCTCACATTTTTTTTGTGGAAGTTGAAGGTAATACTAAAAAGGTAGAGTAAATTGTTACAAGAAGAAAAATGTTAAATCTGTTCAATTTCTAAAAATATCTGCAACTTTTCTCCATGAACATACTTTTCAGTAGCTACCTTATCAGCTTTTTGCCTATTTGTTTTTTTTTTTTTTTAAATGCATCAGGTCAGTTTGGGAAGAATTTGAATTGGTGTGCAGTGTTCAAAGTGTCTATTGTCAAACCAATTCTTTTTGTTCTTGTCATGGCAGAATTTTGTAATAATAGGATATTGTTTCAATTAGATGTATGCAATAGAGAAAGAGACTGCAACATAGCACACAAGGTTCTGGTTGAATCTTCACGGATTCAGTAAGAAGAGATGTAAACTAATTTAGAGTTAAACATTGCTGCCTTTATACAAGAAAAAATCCAGATATTTGAGCTTTCACTGTCCAGTCCCCCCACCCTTTTTTTTTTTTTTTTAGAAATAGTCACAAGTACTCTTTAAAAAATTGCAAAGTATTCCTATTCAAAGAATTGATCTTTGAAATGTTTATTCACTAAACTAGTATAAAATGCATAAACTATTCTGAGAGGATTGATATTCCAACATGAAATTATTTTAAAAATTAACCTCTTACTATGCTCCATGTGGATGACTCAGCTTACCTGTTCCTTAGGCAAGCACCCTACATTTCCTTTTCTCCCACATACTTCTGGAAGACACACAGCAGTCAGACTTTTCCAGTGATAGTATTATCAGTTTAAATGTGCTTTGGGTTTCTGGATAACTATACAGGTTTTCCAAACGAAATGTGATTTCACATGTTATTGGAGAGTAAGGCTAAGAAAAGGGTCTTGTGTTAGAATGAAGAATCCCTTTGAATTTGACTTATTTCACACTATGAGCAAATGTCACATTCAAACATAAATCTCTGGAGAAATCTCTGGAGACAGTACTGAAAATTTCTCTTCTTGGTCTATGATTTAGACCTTCTCATTTTAAGTCACTATATCAAAAATATATTGAAGAAAACAGAATTTAAAGGTGTCTGAATTATTAAAAATATTTCGGACACTAGCTAAATGTAAATTACAATGCACATTCAAGGATTTCTGTATAATCATTTTAAATATCTGCGTGGAATTTTCTCCTTCCACTCATACCTTTCTACACTATATCATAACTAATACCCTCTGTGATCTTGACAATATCCTCTTTGAACTTGATTTCCTATGTTTAAAATAAAAATGATGCTTTCCTATAGGCTAACTAATTATGGTGGGTGGAATGGAAGTTAATATTATAAGGCACTTTGAACTCTCAGAACAAAGTGCTAAGTAAGCACTAGACAGTGGAAAATAACGAGCCAGATAGTTTCTGTACCTGGCCACAATTTGAATATTATAGACCTAAGTAAATTATCAATGTTCCTTAATATATAAAGTCAATAACTTTATATATTTTATACAATTTTTATTTTATATTTTATTGTCACTCTCTTAGGATTATTCGTCACTAAAGTAAGCAACAACAACAACAAAACTCCTTAGAAATTGAAAGGCTAGAGATTTGTTCTGAATTCTGCATTTAAAAATATGTCATAGTCCATATTCTATTGGAACTCACTTAACACTATTCCAAGGTAACTGCAAAGATTGTTATTTAAACTAAGGTTTAGAAATTCATATCAATTTACATCTTTATATATATTAATTATCCCTAAACACCCTTAAATATAAAGTTTGTATAAAAACAGGTAAATCAACTTCTGATATAGTATAAATTAAATCACTGAGACAAATATTGAACTTCAAAGTATGCAAAAAGTACTAGAAATTTTATAAAAATATGCCTAATTAATAAAATTTTATAAAACAAAATGTAAGACTGAAACCTATTTGAGAATTTTAATATACAATAAAATTTTATTATAATTATTATGAAATGATGGGTGTTGTGGCTTATGCCTGTGATCTCAGCGCTTTGGGATGCAGAGGTACAGTGATAGTATAGTTTCTCAAGTGAGGAACACTTGAGCTCAGAAGTTCGAGATAAGCCTGGGCAACAACGTGAGACCCCAGTCTCTACAAAAAATTTAAAAATTAGCCAAGCTTGGTTGCATGCCCCTGTAGTTCCAACTACTCAGGGAGCAGAGACAGGAGGATCAGGTGAGTCGGGGAGATTGAGACTGCAGTGAGCCATGGCTGTATAATTACACTCTAGCCTGGGTGACAGAGAAAGACTCTGTCTCTCTCTATATATATTATTATGAAAGTAAAAATATACATATTATTTTCTTATCTGGAAATTTGTTTTAATGTATATATTGCCAGTTATTAAGCTTCTAGTGTTTTCAGAAGATTGCTAAGAAACTGAGAGCTGTGGATTCTGCAGCAATTATTACTAGCTTGGGCCTAGGGAAAGTTACTTAACCTGAGTTTCATTTCCCTCAAAGGGTTTTTATCAGAACTAAATAAAATAATGTCTATGAGCCACTTAGTACAGTTCCTAGTACTAAAAAATATTAACTGCCAGTGTTTCTAATATTTCAATTATTATAAATTGGAGAGAAACACAACAGAGCACAATTGTCTCTAATTCAGAATAATATTTGCTAATTGTCATGAATTTGATGTATATCCAGCACCTCCTTTCCAACAATTAGAGTCATTGTTTTGGTTTCCTTCTTTAGTCAGTCAGAGTGCTTGTGAAGGGTTAGATAAGATGAACTGAGAAAAATATACCTCATGATAAAAAGATACAGGGTTCTGAAAACCCTATTTCATGCCTGCAAGGATATTAGCATAGAACATATTAGGAAATGTTCTGTTAAATAAGAGGCTGCTGAAACATTTGTAATACAGAATTAAATTGTGAATGATATATCAACTTAATTAATATTTCCTGAGCAGATAATAATTATATATATATATATACACACACATACACATATATAATATACATATAATTTATATATAAACACACGCACAAATAAGCACATTTATTACATACACACATATGTACATTCATTACATATACACAGTTGTAATATATATGTGAGTATGTAATAAATGTACCTATTTGTGCATGTGTAATATAAATATATAAACATGAACATGTATTACATAAATATATACACATATGCATATGTGCATATATATGTGTATATATTTATATACACATATATGTATATATATATATGTACAAACATTGCCTTCACCTTCATTGTAATGATATCCCACTGAAATAGTAGCTGATACTATGCTAAGTGAAGATGCTTATTGGTGTCAAAGATACTATCTATGCTTAAGTAAAGATACTAAATTGTATCAAAAACGCTAATCTCTTTTGGTCATAATACTGCTAATTTCTCTTACTACCTAGTAGTTTTGAACATGCTTAACATTTTTTCTCCTTGAACTGAGGGTAACATGAATGAGACAATGAAATAAAGGAGAAATCTGATTTTTACAATATTTATAATGCCTTTTATTATTTGCCCTCCTTTTAAAATGCCTGTATAATTTCCACTGGCAATTGTAGGAATGCCATTTGTAGATGAAAAAAATGTTATAAATCTCTTGACTTGGATATATGCTTACAGTGCAACTAACGTGTATGCAAAATGCATTGTCAGAATTAAATTAAAAACTCACTTGTGAATAGTAGCATCTAAAACAGAAAGGATATATGATGATTTAACAATTCTGAATAGCTCTGCAGAACTGTAAATCCTACTGTGACTAATAAACTCCCCAAGGCAGAAGGTTGCACTTTTTTCTTTATTTTAACTTCCTAAACTAAAGTTTTTGAAGCTTCTCAGGCAAAGGAATTAAATTTCATGTAAAACTAGTCTTACGATCAGCATTTTACTACATTTCATCAATTTTATAACCTTCATGGCTTAAAATAAATGGATTTAATATGCTAATCATCATTATAGTACTATTTATTGAATATATATGTATATGTGTATATGCACACACATATATGTACTGATGTACCCTCTGTCTATATATAGCCACCATAAAAAAAAATGCTTAAAGTGAAAAAAGCATAAAATGGCAGACATAGCTCCAAACTTGAAACAAGGACACCTAACCTCCTACTCTACATCTTGTAACCTTTGGCTGTGTAATTTGGGTGAAAACATTTAAAATGTTTGCACTACAATTTATGAAGCATGAGAAGGTTTTCATAAACCATCTCTAAAATTCCTTTCAGCTATGAGTTTACAAAAACAACATGATTCCTTCTTTTCATGATCTTCTTATGGCATCTTATTTCCACTATGGCTTTATTAAACACTTAACCCATTTCAAATATTTGGCCACTAAATAATTTGTTAAAGAGCACAGTGGCTTGGCTTTGATGGTTTTCTCTGTGTTTAGGAAAGATTGGTTTGATGAATAGATGGATGAATGGCTGGATGCATGAATGTGTGAACACAAAGAGAAAAAGTGAGGGGAAAAATTTGGGGGGTAGAGAGAGTGAGAGCATGCACAAAAGAATCATCTCTGTTGTTAAAAAGAAAATAAAAGATTCATTGCATGTAGCATCTTTGCTAACTTTCAGTTAAGTTTATTCCTTTTATGATTACCTACCATATATAATTTATATGTTAGTCAAAATTAAGTGAGTAAAGAGATTAAAAAGTTTGAACTTTCTGACTAAAAAATAAAGATCAGCTATCTTTGATTTTATTTGGAATTATGAAATCCAACGAAATATTTATGCACAAATGTTTTTATATAAGTTTTTCTAGATGATATGCTATTGATTTGCAAGAGGAATGTAGATGTGTTGATGCTTGGTTTCAATATTTAGAGTCTTTTATTTTAAACACAACTTGATAAGGTTGTTATAGAATATGTATATCTTCCAATAATTCTATTCGCTGTGGAAAATTTCTTCAAGATATATCAAATTTTTTCTCAATATTGTTAGAGGAAATTATGTGCAGGATGAACACATAATTTTTTCTCTACTATCTTATCAGGTAAATAATGTTTACTCCACTTGCCTCTTAAATTTATAAGACACAAAATTTTCAATATTCAAACTAAAATGCAAGTTTTTAGTATGATTATTAATTACCTTGTGTATGATTATTACCTTGCTAACTTGGGTTTTCTGGAATCGTAATAATGCCTGTGACAACAAATTAACATGCAAGTACATTTTCAAGTCTACTTTTGTTTTAATTTAGGTTTAGGTGTAACTTATATTTTATCCATACATCTGAATTTAGGTATTTTATTTTATAAGATTATATCTATTTTATAAGATTATACCTAATTTAATGTTAAAAAGATTTAATCAATGATTCTTGAGTGTCTAAACTATTCAGGCTCTTTTATACACAGTGTAAGTATAAAAATAGATTATATGGCCTAGGAAATTATATTTTGCTAATTGATAAGGACTACCTCTGTGGTAGAGGAAACACCAAAAATAAAACCAAGAAGGAGAAAAATCTTCGAATGTTTGGAGACTTGTTGAGTTGGTTAGGTTAGTGAACTTATAAATATTTTATTTAAAAGGCATATTTGTGAATGTATTTTTGGGTGAAATGATTTTATGATCTGAAGTACTGACTTATTTCAAGCACAAAAAATCTACACACACACACACACACACACACACACACACACACACATACACACACACAGACACCAAGCATATATCTATTAGGTTAAAAGAAGAAATTTGGATTGTCATTTTAAAAATTGGCAAGTAAGTATATGTATTTTGGGAATATTTAAATACCTTTCTAAAACATAATTATGTTTTTTTAACAGAAGTACTGTAGCTTGTCAGTTAGCTTTGAATTGTACAATAATTTATGAATTTTCAAAGGGCATACCTGCATTAATACTTTTACATATGACACTTCACAATGAAAATTTAAGCCATTATCATTGCTTTAATATTACTATAAATTGTAATTAAGTTGACAATTATATTTTTGTAGAACTTTGTCTAAATTTGGTATTTTTTTCATATATATGCTAATTGGTCCATTAGTCCGTGAAAATTGTTTTCAGTAGCATTACATGTAGTACAAACTCATAAACATTAATATTTTTCTAAGATATAAGAAGACATGTAAACATGATATAGTTTTCATTTAAAAATATATATTTTGGCCACTTGCATGTCAGTATGTTTGTATAAGGATTACATAAAGCCTTTATTTCTCCCCCCATAAAAGGAACAGAATATCAACCTTTAGTGATGGAAATGACTAAAAATTGCTGTAATAGGAATATTCAGGAGGTGTTCCTTTCCTGCTTTATTGATTGGTTATTCTTCCCTTCAGTTTGGCCAATAAGAAATATATAGAGAGTACTGATGAAATGCTGTGTGTGTGTGTGTGTGTGTGTGTGTGTGTGTGTGTGTGTGTCAGTGGTGGAATAATTATTTTATATTGACAGGTCTAATCTGCTTTTCCCATGAAGGTTATAAAATAAAACTGAGTGTAAAATCATGCTAATAAAAATACCTGAGAAGGATCTAGATGCTTTGACATCATGTTAACTACATAGTTAAGAATGTTACATTTGAGCAACTATATAGTTAACAAAGTAGATCTAGTACCTATAGTATTGGATTATCTAGATTGGTAATATTTGTATATTAATACAAAGAATAGAGATGACTTTGCTGTGACTATTGGAAGTGGGTGAAATTAGAAAGGAATTTCTGTCCCAGGATCCTTCCTGTGGAACTAATCACATTGTTTTCAGAATGCTTGTGTTGAAGACAAAATACTGCATGCACTCCTGTAGTACAAAGTCAGTTTAAGATGAGATTTTTATAGCTGAAGAAAAAAGTAAATAAATAACTGGGATTTGAAATGTTGGATAAGATTTTCTGTTCTTTGATTACACTGTTTGCAATAAGATGAACTGTTTCTTCTGTGTACTTCCTTGCTGTTTGCAGAAAGATGAACTGTTTCTTTTATCCATTTTTTCAGTATATCTTAATTCTGCAAAGGATTGACTAATGTGCTATCATTTCTGCAGGTTTCTGCTGTTTATTAACCCAAGTTTAATGTTTAAGGCAATATTAAGTGTTCTGCCATGTAATAGTAAAATGCTTCCATCAAAAATGTATTACCAATACAGCAGAAGTCAATAACGTCACCTGCTATAAAACAAGGTTGATAAGAAGCCCTTTTTTAAAGACTCATTTAGAACCCACGACAACTTGAAACATCTTTGTATAAACACACATTACTACTTTGCGAATAGACATTTAGATTATCTGGTTTAAAATGAATTGGTTATTTCAGCTTCAATTGTAAAAAATTTGTATCATACTTCCTAACAAACTATTAAAGAAATTTGTATATCTAAACCTGAGAGTATTAAATTTCAATGTAATGATTAATCTAGATCTACAAAGGATTATCACATATTAAAATAATTCTTATGAAAGCTGCTTAAATTAGCAAGATAGGTCAAACATTTATTGTCTAAATGTTTTTACAAGAGCTTAGATTAAAAAGCATTATCTGGTTCAGAAAAGACAGGTTAAGTAAAAATTAAAGTCTATAATATATATTTGATTAATAAAATAATAATATTCTCACTAGTAAACATCTGATAACATATTAAGGAAGTACTCAATTTATATGTCAATTTTAAAAATTCTGGCCAGGCGCGGTGGCTCACGCCTGTAATGCCAGCACTTTGGGAGGCCGAGGTAGGTGGATCACGATGTCAGGAGATCGAAACCATCCTGGCTAACACAGTGAAACCCCGTCCCTACTACAAATACAAAAAAAAATTAGCTGGGCGCGGTGGCAGGTGCCTGTAGTCCCAGGTAATTGGGAGGCTGAGGCAGGAGAATGGGGTGAACCCGGGAGGCGGAGCTTGCTGTGAGCCGAGATGGCGCCACTGCACTCCAGCCTGGGCAACAGAGTGAGACTCCGTCTCAAAAAAAAAAAAAAAAAAAAAAAAATTCTTCATTAGTTTCTCTCAAGTTCTCAGCCATGGACAGGTATTCAAAATATATAGGAAACAAGGCTATGGCTTGAGGAGACTGATACAATCCATGCCAATATAAAAGAGCAGTGATGGCCAGGCACAGCGGCTCACTCCTTTAATCCCAGCACTTTTGGAGGCTGAGGCAAGTGGATCACGTGAGGTCAGGGGCTCGAGACCAGCCTGGCCAAAATGGTGAAATCCCGTCTCTACTAAAAACACACAAAAAAATAGCCGAGTGTGTTCGCGTGCACCTGTAATCCCAGCTACTCGGGAGGCTGAGGCCGGAGAAGGGCTTGAACCCGGGAGGCGGAGGTTGCAATGAGCTGAAATCACGCCATTGCACTCTAGCCTAGGCGACAGAACAAGACTCCATCTCAAAAACAACCAACCAACCAACCAAACAAAAAGAGCAGTGAAAAGATAAAGCCAGCTCCACACTGGCTTTATAATACACACTGTGTATATAATGATAATACACACAATGTGAGGTTTAAACAAATGTGTTTAATACACACAATGTGAGGTTTAGACAAATGTGTTTAATACACACAACGTGAGGTTTAGACAAATGTGTTTAATACATACAATGTGAGGTTAGACAAATGTGAGGTGTAGAATTTGAGCATGTTGCTCAAGGTCGTATACTTAACAAGTGACGGTCAGTATTTAAAATCAGTTTGCTCTTAGAATCAATGTGTTTACCAAATATTCCATTACCAATCAAATAGTCAATAAAAGTTAGCACAGTGTTTATCATCATCATATTTACACATGGATAAAAAATGCTATAATTATCCATTAGGACTTACATTAGTTCCTTGAGAAATATTTATCCATTCCCTCTGCACAGAGATTTGAATGTCTTTACATTTTCTATAAATATTATTGACTTTACTATTATAAAAGATAATGAAACCCGTGTTCAAAAAAATGGGGGGAGTAAGAAAGGAAGGAAATGAAAAATAAATTAAGATCGCAAGAAAGGTTTGATTCCTATATATTCTATGAATGGACCTCAAGAAGTTTTCTGAGGTTATTTCCTTTTATTCAGAAAAGAAATCTTCCAGCTATGAATTCCTTAAAAATTTCATGATATAAGATATCCAATGTATTGGATACTTTGTCATGTAGAAGCTTTTTATACCTATTATGTTTTCTTCCCCATGACCTCCCCGCAATAACACTTTGAGGTACTATTTATCATTCCATTTGGAAGAAGTAACTATATTCCTTCTCAGCTATTACACTGCTTCCAGTACAATGTGTTTCATTAATAAATAAAGTGCATGCTCTAAGTGAAAGTATATGTTTTTTAAACACATAAGTCTCCTTGTCATATTTCCAGAGGGGATGACAGAATATTTATGTTATTATTTAATGGCAAAATTCACTTCTTTCTAGGAGCAATTTTTGATGAATCTGCCAAAAAGGATGATGAGGTATTTCGCACTGCGGTTGGTGACCTTAACCAGAATGAGGAGATCTTACAGACTGAGAAAATCACATTTTCAGTGACGTTTGTTGATGGCAACAACCCTTTCCAAGCAGTTCAAGAAGGTAAGGTCATCAGTATTTATTTTGGTTTTTTGGTTCAATTCAAGTGGCAATGAAATTATCTTTGATGAAACTTATTAAACATGGACATCATTTTTGTATCTTGTTGATAATAGGGCATTATTTTCCTTGGAGATCACTGTTTTGTAGATGTTAATCTTGTATTCCAGTTTTGAAAGGGCAGAATGTGGAAAGTTATTATATTAATTGAAATATAATATGAAAATGAACAAATATTTACATGTAAAAGCTTTGCAACATTTTTATGACTTCAGTGTAAATGAAACATCTTTTTAAAATAGTATTTTCTAACAGAAAGTTTACTTTGGACTTCTCTGAGATAACTGCCACCTTGGGTATTGTTACAACTTGGGATGACATATCAGGTGAACTCATGACAAATGTACTGCTGAAAGAAAAACCCTTGGACACTACATACAAATCAAAGATTTTGTATTAGGACTCTAACATACTGACCTACGCTATAAATTTTACTCTCTACGAGGCACCAAATATTAAAGCACTTTCCTCCTTTTCCTCTGTAAACCTGAGTAAATTAAATTTTTTCATTGGTGCAAAGTAATGCAAATACCAATTATTTTTAATATATTGGAATCATCATTCCTATTATGAAGGTTTTGATTGAAAGATCCTAGAAAAATGGAATTTTCTGTTTGCTTCTATTAGTCTAATTAAACATTTAGCCTTGATCCAGAAAGCACTCACTTTAAATGAAACTATTGGTTGATAATTGGGAAGGTCTGAATGTTTGTGTCCCCTCCTACCCCGCTGCATAGGTTGAAACTGAATTCCCATTCTGGTGGTATTAAGAGGTGGGGCCTTCAGGAGATGATTAGGTCATGAGGGCTCTGTCCTCATGGATAGGATTAGTGCCCTTATAAAACAGGCCCAAGGGAACTTGCCTGCCCCTTCTGCCATTCGAGGACTCAGCAAGAAGGCACCGTCTGTGAAGCAGAAGAAGATCTCTCACAAGACACCTAATCTGCTGGGCCCTTGATCTTGGATTTGCTGGTCTCCAGAACTGTAAGCAATAAATTTATGTTACTTATAAATTACTTAGCCTGAGGTATTTTGATGTAGCAGCCTAAACTAAGAAACTAGTCTACCTTATTTTTTATTGTGATGATGTATTTAAACTGAAGATAATGAATGCAAAATTAATTTAGTCAAATAAAACATTTGCCTCATTAAAAATTTAAATAGAATTTGGCAGAAGAAAAGGCAGATACCATATTAACTGTAACAAAGTTGGGCAGGATTTTTTTTGTAATGCAAACATTGAAAGAGTAAGGAAAATAAAAGTGTCTGAAAATGTGTACTTTTCATTTACTGTTTTATCTGCTTGATGCGCAGGTAACATTTATTGAAATATATTTTCAATCAATAGCACTGGCTACTGTTGAAACTTATTTATGTTAGTTAGAAAATAGATATGTGATTGGTGGTCTAAAAGTTTTTTCCTTGTTAATGGAATGGAGTAAAAAATCATTATTTTTTGAAATGAATAGAACTGTTTTAAGTAAAAACTGGCTTTACAAAGAATAGGATAATAATGTTTATAATAATACAATGAGATTTTAATTTTTAATAAGTAAACATTAATGCAAAAAGTCAGATTGAAATAACCATTCAGTTATTTACATTTTAAAATCAGAATCATCCCGACAATATAAGGATTTCAATACTGGAAATGTTAATAAATATTAATAAATTTTCTATGGAAATATTTAAAAGCAGTATAAATTAATATTAGAAATAATAGAAGGATCTGGAAAATCATAACATAGAATTTGAAGATACCAAATCATTTTAAAGATATATTCAATAGGAAATATATGTCATTCATTTTTAAGAAATCTGTATTATTTTTCTTTCTTAACTCTTATTTGTAAGGACCAGAATGTGAGCAGGAAAAACGTGAGGACTGATTTCTTTCTTTATCTTCTTAGTAACTACATATTAATAATTGTGAATTAACTTCAAAGACAGGCTAAACTACCTATGCTTTTTAAAAATTAACCTTGAGTAAAAAAGTAGTAAGAAAAAAAATGAAATGAAGACAACACAGTGGTGAGAAACCGGAATTATAAATTAAGAAGAAAAAGTCCCTCACCCCTTTATTAAAGACTATAATTTGAAAAGTAATGACAGTTTTTTAAATACTACACCTTTTTTTTTGTTTCAACATTGCTCTCTTTAATTATTCTGCTGCCAGCTAAATTCTGAAAACAAAAATATCTTGCAATAGTGACGTGACGGCACTGAAAGCAAATTGAGAGAGGCAATAAGGTTCCCAGATAGAGACCACTAGGTATTTGTCAAGAAAAATGAAAGAGCTGGACAGTTTGCCTGATGGTTTCTGATACTAACAGGATGTTCTCCACCAGTTATTGTGATGGTCAGCTTTGGGTAATAAACCTGAAATGAGTTCCAGGAAGCTTTAAAGACAATTTGTTTCCCTATTCAATATCAAGAAGGGTTTCAGTTAATGTTAGAAGTAAAAATACTTATTTATAGAATTTTTTTTGTAAAACGGTGGCTTGAAAAAAATAAGAGAAAATATTCTATTGAAAGATAACAAACAACCCATTCAGAAGCACTATTTTCTTCAATGTTTTGAGGAAGTAATTTAGGAGAAAACCTCAACTGTGCCATTGAAGATAGTCAACTTTCTCTCACATGTTTACTGCAATACTATGCAAACTTGTATTGAGAGGGACTAACATCACCTTGTCTGTTTTCATTTTTTTACAGTCTAAAGAAGGAAAAAAGATTCAATGATACAATTATAAGTGATTGCTTATATATTAGCACTCCTAATGAATTTATAGAAAAACTCATGGTTTTGATCCCTCTGCCTGTTTATTCAAATTTGAAAGTCTCATCCTTGAACAAATAGCATCATCAAACATATAGATAGTAATAATGACAAATGATAATAGGGATCACTCAGAGGTTAGATAAGTAAAATCTAATAGCTTGAAATCCTCAATTTATTTTATTGTTAGAATTTCCTCTAATCAGCCACATTTAAGAGCTGGTTTTTTATTTTAAAAATCAAAATTTCTGTTCACTGTATCTTTCTACTGTTATCACTTAATAAGAGAGAGGAATTCAGTGACAGCCTATATAACCCATAAACAGTAATAAAGAGTATTGGTGTTTTGGAAATCTTCCTTTGTAGCTTTGGCTACAGTACATTTTTGGATAGCAATTAATCCTTTAGAAAATGAGTTTCTAGACAGATACCTCAGTTATAACACGGGGTACACATTCCATTCTCTGGAGATCAATGACTGTATCTGTTAATTTTGTCAGTATTTGGTAACATTGATTTCAGATCTTTGAAATACATGAATAATAGAAAAAAATTTCTGTTTTCACAAAAGTTATCTGGAAATAAATTACCTATTTTGAGATTATTCTTTTTTCCTTTCTTATGAATGTATTTGTTGATAAGCCATTTTTCATCTTTTGTGTACTGAGCTGCAGGATATTAACTAAGGGCAAATACATTTTCAAACCTTAACTCACGAGGTTTTCTTGACAATTTTTTTTTTCATTTGGATAGGCTATTTTGGTATCTAGGATGTAGTGTTCTCCGTAAAAAGATAAATACAAAAAGAAAAAAAAAACGTATATGGGTTATTTTTAAAAACCTTGAGAATTATAGGGGTGGAAAATTATATAAATCTGGTTGAATATTTTCACAATTTAGATGAAATAATTGAGACCCAGAGAGGTTAAATAATTTTCCCTAGTTCTTCTAGGGTTACCATGCTTGTGTGTAGCAGAAAAAGAACTAAACCAAGACCTCCTTTACATCACTAGTCCAGTATTTTTCTTGCTATATACCCACCCATGCATATATATAGACACACATGAGATAGCACAATGTATTATAGGACTTCAGTAAATAATGTAAGGACTCAAAAAAGTAGCAGATTTATGTTTTGATATTTATTTGCTATTTATTATTTATGTTCAACCATGGAATAGTAGGAAAATTTCAATCTAGGTGATAAAGACCAGTTACATTATATAAATCAATCTTGTTCTTTTGGCCTTGGTTTTCCTCATTTGTAAAAAATGAAGGAATCTGAATATAATGTATTTTTAAGGTAACTTTCATCTCTATGCTTCTATGACCCTTAAGAACACAGTTCTAGAATTAGAACCTTATAGAAACGATCATTATTTAGTGTCCCTTTAGAGAAAGTTTCACGTTGCTGAAATTGCCTCCTAGTTTTTCTGTGTCTGACTTTAAAATAGATTAAACAGATATAGGGTATCCATTGTTTGTTCTGCCACCTCATTCAACTATTCACCACAACCCACAGTACTCATTACCACCAATAGAATTCAAAGGATCTTGTGCTGATTCCCTTAACCTGAACCAAAGTAGCTGTTCATAGGTTACTCTTTTTATTCATAAGTTACTCTTTTTATTTTCTCTTATAAATTTTTTCTTCTGTGGCATCTATGTACAACATTTAGCATAAATGTACAAATGTTTTTGTGAAAAACACTGCTGTCGTTTCTGAAAGCAGTACTTATTGTTTATATTGTTAGCTCTTAGCTGAGATGAACATAAAATGGGCCATGAAAGGTGGAAATTTATAAGAAAACAAAGTCAGGAAATGTAAGGATGGTATATTTGTAGAAATCCTCAAGTCAAAAGGTGAATGAAGTATGAATCCATATATAATTCTTACATGTATTTGATGTATTAAGAAGGAAGTGAAGCATCATTCTTTGATATTTAATGACAAGATTCAGCTAAACAATTTTGAAATAATTGCTCTTATTAGAAAAATACCTAAAAATAAGCTGCATCGTGAATATAAGGGCAACATTATACTATAAAGTCACAAATGATTCTGTTTGAAAGAAAATGTATTAAACTATAATACTTTTTTATGTATTGCAAAACATTATAAACAATATCATTATAATTTAAAAACACAAGGTTTTTGAAAAAATGTCCAGTGCTTTTTGAAATATAAAAATTTGAATCAATATCTCAAAGTACAATTCAAAGAAGCAAACTCTTATTGTAATATGCAGTAATGGGATTCATTAAAGTTAAACTGTTGTGATGCTGGAAATATGAACACAAAATAAATGATATTTTTAATATATATAAAAAAGTTGTAGTTAATAGAGATCATCTTGCAAGTTTCAGTCTGGTAGACCTTACGACTACTTCTTTGCATATCTTAACACCAGTGTTGATTACCCATTGCTCTTGTAAAAGGTAAACATTTCACTAATAAAATGATGATTTCAATTAGATCTGCCTCATATATCTTCTAAAATAAAATAATTTCCAGTATATGATTATGCTTATAAAACAATAAAACTGCATTCATTTTTGGTTTATGTTACCAATCTCATTTCTTTATAGTTATAAAAATACATACATATTTATTTCATGTGTGTAAATGGGATGACAGGAAATTAGCACAGTCAGAAAAAGTGCAAGGAAATATAATTAGGAAAAAGCACATCTCCAAAACACATTACCATCCATGGTGAATATTTCTGGTCATTGATTAAATCTAAATAGTCTAGTCCAAAGAAGATGTAAATAGAATGATTTGTGTGGCTGCATTATTTGACACTTCTTTCCAGGGATTATTCTCATTTATATTTCATTTATTTGCCCACTGCTTTAATATGACATTTTTACTGTGATTAAAAAATCTGCTAATTTCAAACTTCTTACACTGGATTCTGCAACTTTCCTAGCATAATACTACAGTATGTGTACCCCAACAGCCTGTGTTTCCTGGACCAATTTTGATAACTTCAATTCCAGCTTATTTTCTGAATTGTCTGACAATAAACTAAACTTGAGAATTGTTGTCTGTAGGAGCTGAGAAACAAAACTAGGAGATCATGTGGGTATGATTCTATTCATTCATTCATTCATTCATTCATTCATCCATTCGTTCATTTATTCACTGTTTTCATTCCTACTTTCCTTCCCACATCAAAGTCAAGGTTGTGCCTTGAGTCTCAATGTCTATCCCAGTGCTCTGGTTAACTCTGGACCATCTACATGTGTGAATTAGTGGAAGGAGCAAATCGTGTTGTTGAACAGCCATCTCCAAACACCTGCACATCAGGAGGGATGCTGGATGTCTATTCAGTGACTAAACCCCCTGTTTTCCTCTATGAGGGAAGATACTTAGCTTGGTCCTTTCCCCAGCAATCTCCTGCCAAAACCTGTATTACTTTTTCTCCTTGCCTGTCACATTCTAAAGACTGGGCCACAAGGTCTGGAATTAGAATCTATCTTATGTGTGATCTTTAGTGTCCATCATCAATGTAGTATTAAAGGACAAATAATTCTATGCTTGTTAGAGACAACACCAATATGCATTAAGAAAAAAAAAAACAGCTCACACAAACCTTTTCCACTGCAGAATTTCCCATTAAGAGCAATTAAAAATATATATATTTAGAACCTAATTTTGAGATTACTCAGTCAAATTAATTTATTCAAGTGCTTATTAAATGCCTAGTACTTCCAAGATTGAGCCAGCTACAATGGGAGATAACCAAAAAACAAAAGAACACAGCATATAACTCCAGGAATAAAAATGTATTTGAGGAAAGCTGTGGATTTTTAACCATGAAAAAGCATGCCGTTCCCCTCTACCTTTAACTTGAGGTTTAATTGTGTTAATAATAGAAGGAACAAGATGGTCTAGCTTTTTAAGTATACTTTTCAGGAAAGACAGGTATTTTCTTTTTTTTACGATCATTATACCAAATTTATTTATTTTTATTTTTATTTTTATTTGTTTAATTTATAAAGGAAAGAAGTTTAATTGACTCACAGTTCCACATGGCTGAGGAGGCCTTAGAAAACTTACAATCATGGCAGAAGGGGAAGAAAATATATTCTTTCTTAAAGAAGGTTATTACTTTACCTTTAAACAAAATATTAATGAAGATACAAATTGCATAGTCTAATCTTTTTTCCTGTTATTTGTTGTTTTACTGCTGTATTTGTATGTCTTTCCCTTACCTCATTTGATATCATACTCTTGAAGTAACAGGTCTCTACTACAGTGAATGGATTGAAATTCAGATGTTTACAGACCTCTACATCATAATTTTATAGCCTTTGTGCTTCGAGGACTTTTACCTCACTATCTACAATTGTGATCTGTTGTGTTACCTCATAAAATATATATTTTAGCAATTTGTGCTGCTCTGGATTTTGTTTTATTTGGAAGAGTCTTTAGCAGCGTTCTGTGAAAGCTGTGTTTAAAGGAAGTAAAGATTTGTTCTTTTGTTGTCTGTGTTCTTTCTTCTACCAATTCTTTTCTCCTAATAATAGCACATCACTTTCTTGTATTCTTCTATGTCTGTATGTATGGTGCATGGATATGGTAACATAATTCACTTTTAATCAGTCTTTTTTGAAACTGACTCATTAGAGGAATCACTACATATCTTAAATTAACTCTGAATATCTGGTTGATTTGATTAAAAACCACATTTACCTACACTCGCAGTTGTAATGAGAGATCATTATGTAGTCATAAAATAATTTAAGTTCATGTTGACAAACCAATGATGACTTCAGTATATTTGGAATTTTCAATCTGTTATCACTATTATCAATATCCAACTTTTATATGATCCAGTTTACCTGGTTAATTTTAGAAGAAATAGCAAGCTGACATTTACTTTCACATTTAACACCTATTTTTTGTTGTCCTTGACAAGTGTAATGAGGTTTATGGGAATCACACTGAATAGTCTTTTGGGACTCATGCAATAGTTTGTTATCTTGTAATTTTCAAAATAATTATTACAGAAAAGCTCTCTTTTAAAAGGAACATGCAATAAGCCAGTGTGCAATAGGAAATTGCATATTCTGGGAAAAAAAAGAAAATGAATCCGCCAGTACCTTTTGGGTGCCTGTGAACATTCAGTCTTGTGCCAACTACTCTGCACACTGTCATGCTCTCCATTGGCTGCCCTGTCGTCTTACATGGTTAATTTGGCCTTTACTCTGTAACCTAGTGTTAGGTCCTGACCTATGTGTACCTCTCTTCTTTTTGCCCTCCCATTATAGTACTATTTTTAAACTCTTTATTTAGCCCCCTTTTAATCCTTGACTCTCCATATTATACTGCAGACACTCAAAATGTCTGCATTTAGTTCGGTATGTAAATCTTAAACTTGGTTTCATTTACCTCGCAGGGAAAAACATATATATTAAGTTCATAGCCCATGGAATTAGATACCTGCCTTTATTTTATGTATGAATTCTGCTCTATGTCTTATTATCTGTGGGCCCTTGAACACACCTACTATTTCTGAGTCTCAGTTTCTTCACATGTAAAATGAGGATAAATACATACTCCATAGCATTAATATGATTATGTGATTATTGTGTAATGATTATATGGGATTGTAAATATGGTAGATGGGTTCCTCCACTAATCTAATTACATTTTAATGATAGTGCTGTATGTGATGATTTAGTACCATTGCATGTGTCCCTCAGTAAGTTTTCACCCGTTTCCAATATTTCCTTCCCAAACATATTCTAGTACTTTTATTAGTGGTTCCCATGGATACCTCTGAGCCTAACCTTATTACCTGCGTAGTCAGCGACATATTTTTGCCCAAATGGGACTTTCCTTACCAAGATTTTGAGTGCTGTGGTTTTAAATATATATAATGAAATGCTTTTCCTTTTTTTTTTTTTTTTTTTTTCCTGTCTCTCTCTCTCTCTCTTTCCTTGGGCTGGTTCTGCTAGTCAGCACAGGAAGATGAGAATTATACATGTAGTGTAATTTATTTGGCAAATAGTAGTGATGTTGCAACATGTGTACTTAGGGTTGGGAGGATTTAAAATACCTTGTTACCATTTCTGGGAAGTAGAGAAAGGCCATGGAGGCCAAATTAAAGCTTTCTGATGATTTGTGTAGGCTTAATACAATCGGTGAAGTAAATAAGGCGCTGAGTCATAGCTAAATGGAATTTGGCTGTAGAGCAACATAGTGTTGTAGGAGAGTGATATATATGAAGGTTGAATATAGAAATTAATTCAAGGAAAGCTTTATGCTTTGAAAGATGGATCATCTCTGGCAAATTTATATCTGACATGATTGTTTAAAAGGTTATCTTTCCATGCTTTGCACATTTCATTGCAATTATACATAGGGAAATATTAACTTTAAAAACTCAGTCATTTGCTTATTTGAATTTCTTGTACTGTACTTCAAAAACACATGATATCATGTTATTTTCTTAAGAATTTATGCCTCACTTCAAAACAGATTTACTTTTTGGTCTTTGATAGACTAACGTGATATGATGGTTAGATGGGTTAAGTCCATTTCTTAAGCTATATTTCAAACATAAATATACATTAAAATGTCTACTATATATAAAAAATATATATTCCAGGCCATGCACCGTGGCTCACGCCTGTAATCCCAGCACTTTGGGAGGCCAAGGCAGATGGATCACGAGGTCAAGATATCGAGACCATTCTAGCCAACACGGTGAAACCCCGTCTCTACCTAAAATACAAAAATTAGCTGGGCCTGGTGCCATACACCTGTAGTTTCAGCTACTCGGGAGGCTCAGGCAGTAGAATCGCTTGAACCTGGGAGGTGGACATTGCAACGAGGCGAGATTGCGCCACTGCACTCCAGCCTGGGCGACAGGGCAATACTTCATGTATGTGTGTGTGTGTGTGTGTGTATATATATATATATATATATATATATATATATATATATATATATTTCTCAGAATGTATTTTAGGGGAGGGTGTAGGTGGGGAAGCAGTTGACAAATCAAAGTCAGAAACAATCTTAGTATAGAGAATATTCTTGAATAGTATTACCTTGAATGCTAAGAAATATTTTTGTATTTTTGAATGTATACTTATACAAACAGAAAGTTCTGAAGTGGTCTCATGTACTCATTCATGTTATTAAACCTGAGCAAGGTATAGAGGGCTCAGGTGAGAGAGGGTAACTAGAGGATTAAAAATTAATACACAAAACAGAAAAGGTCACATTCTTACAGGTCAAGGGATGAGAAGTTGTCATATTAGCCTCATTCTACCTGCTCAGAAATCCTGCTTTTATTATGTTATATTTATTTGTTCAGTAAGCTTTAGTGTTTAGAATTGTGTTGCACAGTTCAAAGTTTTATCTCTATATTAACTCCAAGAACTACGGGATTGTGTAAAAAGACTGAAATGATGACTGACTATGGGGACTTTTTCGTTGATGCTGTTGTTGCTGCCTTCTGTTGTTTGTTTTTCTTTTAAAGTCAGGCCCCTCTTCTGTAGGGCTGCTGTGGTTTGCTCGGGGTCCACTTCAGACCCTATTCACTTGGGCCCCTCCCATACCTGGAGGTGTCATCAGTGGAGGCTGCAGAACAGCAAAGATGGCTGCCTGCTCCTTCCTCCGGGATCTCCGTCGCAGAGGGAAACCGACCTGATGCTAGCAGGAATGCTCCTGTAAAAGGTATCTGGTGACCCCTGTTGGAGAGTCTCACCCAGTCAGGAGGCATAAGATGCAGGACCTCTTAACAAAGCACTCTGGCTGCCCCTTGGTAGAGGAAGTGCACTGTGCTGGGGGCACTCCCATACATCTGGACTGCCTAGATTCCTCAGAGCCACCAGGAAGGACTAAGTCTGTTGATCCATGGAGACCACAGCCGTCCCTCCCCCAAAGGGCTTAACCCCAGAGAGACCAGAGCTCTGTCCCTACACTCCTGCCTGAAGTTGCTGAAATTCCTGCAGGGAGGCCCCATCCAGTGAGGAAGGATCAGTCAGGGTCCAGCCTAAAGAGGCAGTCTAGACAGGATCTGCCACAGATCAAGTGGACCTGATAGATATCAATAGAACTCTCCACCCACAAATAACAGGATATACATTCTTAGCAGAGCATGGCACTTACATTAAAATTCATCACATAATTAGAAGTAACACACTCTTTAGCAAATGCAGAATAGCTGAAATCATAACAAACAATATCTCATACAACAGTGAACTCATATTCAAACTCAAGATTAAGAAATTCACTCAAAACCATACAACTAAATGGAAATTGAACAACCTGCTCCTGAATGACTTTTGGATAAATCATGAAATCAAGGCAGAAATCAAGAAGTTCTTTAAAACTAATGAGAACAAAGAGAAAACATACCAGATTCTCTGGGACATAGCTGAAGCAGTGTCAAGAGGGAAATTTATAGCACTAAAGGCCCACATCAAAAAGCTAGAAAGATGTCAAATTGACATCCTAACATCACAACTAAGAGAAATAGAAAACTAAGAGCAAACAAACCCCAAAGCTAACATAAAACAAGAAATAACCAAGATCAGAGAGGAACTGGAGGGAGAGACATGAAAAACACTTCAAAAATAAATCCAGGATTTATTATTATTTATTTAAAAATGTAGACCACCTGCTGAAATAATAAAGAAAAGAGAAGAATCAAATAGACACAAGAAAAATGATAAAAAAGATACTGTCACTGACCCCACAGAAATACAAACAACCATCAGAGAATACTATAAACACCTCTATGCAAATAAACTAGAAAATCTAGAAGAAATGGATAAATTCCTGGACACATACCCCCTCGCAAGACTGAACCAGGAAGAAGTTGAATTCTTGAACAGACCAATAACAAGTTCTGAAATTGAGGCAGTCATAAATAGCCTCTCAAGGAAAAAAACCCCAGGGCCAGACGGATTTATAGCTGAATTCTACCAGAGGTACAAAGAGGAGCTGATAGCATTTCTTCTGAAACTATTCCAAACAATTGAAAAGGAGGGACTTCACCCTAACTCATTTTATGAGGCCAGCATCACTGTGATACCAAAACTTGCCAGAGATTTAAAAAAAAAAAAAAGAAAAGAAAAGAAAAAAAGAAAGAAAAAGAAAAAAGAAAAAGCTTCAGGCCAGTATCCCTGATGAACATCGATGTAAAAATCATCAATAAAATACTGGGAAACCGGATTCAGCAACACATCAGAAAGCTTATCCACAATGAACAAGTAGGTGTCATCCCTGGGATGCAAAGCTGTTTCAACATACACAAATCAATAAACATAATTCATTACATAAACAGAACTAAAGACAAAAACCACATGATTATCTCAATAGATGCTGAAAAGGAATTTGATAAAATCCAACATCCCTTCATGTTAAAAACTCTCAATAAACTAGATATCAATGGAACATACCTCAAAATATTAACAGGTGTGTATGACAAACCCACAGCCGGTATCATACTGGATTGGCAAAACCTGGAAGCATTCAACTTGAAAACTCGCACAAAACAAGGATGCCCTGTCTCACGACTCCTATTCAACATAGTGTTGGAAGTTCTGGCCAGGGTAATCAGGCAAGGGAAAGAAATAAAGGTTATTCAAATAGGAAGAGAGGAAGTCAAACTGTCTCTGTTTGTAGATGACATGATCTTCTATCTAGAAAACCCCATCGTCTTAGTCCAAAAGCTTCTTAAGCTAATAAGCAACTTCAACAATGTCTCAGGATACAAAATCAATGTGCAAAAATAACAAGCATTTCTATACACAAACAACAGACAAGCAGTCAAATAATAAATGAACTCCAATTCACAATTGCTACAAAATGAATAAAATACCTTGGAATACAGCTAGCAAGGGAAGTGAAGGACCTCTTCAAGGAGAACTACAAACCACTGCTCAAAGAAATCAGAGAGGACACAAAGAAATGGAAAAACATTCCATGCTCATGGATAGGAATAATCAATATTATGAAAATGGCCATACTGCTCAAAGCAATGTATAGATTCAATGCTATTCCCATTAAACTACCGATGACATTCTTCAGAGAATTAGAAAAACTACTTTAAAATTCATATGGAACCAAAAAAGAGCCTGAACAGCCAATTCAATCCTAAGCAAAAAGAACAAAGTTGAGCCATCACACTACCTGACTTCAAACTATACTACAGGCTACAGTAACCAAAACAGCATGGTACTGACAGAAAACACACACACAGACCAATGGAACACAACAGAGATCTCAGAAATAAGAGTACACATCTACAACCATTTGATCTTAAACAAACCTGACACAAATAAGCAATGGGGAAAGGATTCCCTATTTAATAAATGGTGCTGGGAAAACTGGCCAGCCATACTTAGAAAACTGAAACTGGACCCCTTTCTTATCCAAAAATTAACTCAAGATGGATTAAAGGCTTAAATGTAAAACCCAAAATGATAAAAACCCTACAAGAAAATCTAGGCAATACCATTCAGGATAGAGGGAGGGACAAAGATTTCATGAAGAAAACGCCCAAAGCAATTGCAACGAAAGCAGAATTTGACAAATAAATATAATTTAACTAAAGAGATTCTGCACAGCAAAATAAACTACCATCAGAACAGAAAACCAACAGAATGGGAGAAAATTTTCACAATCTATCCACCTGACAAAGGTCTAATGTCCAGAATCTACAAGGAACTTAAACAAATTTAGAAGAGAAAAACAACTCCATTAAAAAGTAGTCAAATGACAAGAACAGACACTTCTCAAAAATAAAATAAAAAAACATTTATATGGCCAAAAACATGAAAAAAAGCTCAACATCACCGATCATTAGAGAAATGCAAATCAAAACAACAATGAGATACTATCTCAAGCCAGTAAGAATGGCAATTATTAAAATGTTAAGAAACAACAGATGCTGGTGTGACTGTGGAGGAAGAGGAACACTTTTACACTGTTGGTGGGAATGCAAATCAGTTCAACCATTGTGGAAGACAGTGTGGCAATTCCTCAAAGAACTAAAACCAGAAATACCATTTAACCCAGCAATCTCATTACTGGGTATATACCCAAAGGAATATAAATCATTTTATTATAAAAATACTTGCATGCGTATCTTCATTGCAGCAGTATTCACAATAGCAAAGACATAGAATCAATCCAAATGACCGTCAATGATAAACTGGATAAAGAAAATGTGGTACATATACATGATGGAATACTATGCAGCCATAAAAAGGAATGAGATTATGTCATTTGCTGGGACATGGATGGAGCTGTGAGCTATTTTCCTCAGCAAACTAACACAGGAACAGAGAACCAAACACCACCTGTTCTCACTTATAAGTGGGAGCTGAACAATGAGAACACATGGACACAGGGAGGGGAACAGGGAGGGGACTTTTGGGGGTTATGGAGAGAGAAAGCATCAGGATAAATAACTAAGGCATGTGGGGCTTAATAGCTAGGTGATGGGTTGACAGGTACAGCAAACCACCATGGCAAACATTTGCCTATGTAACAAGCCTGCATGTCCTGCACATCTATCTCAGAACTTAAAATAAAATATTTTTTAATCCTATTTATTATGTCTGACAAAATGGAAACAGGCAGGCTTTATGTCAAACCACTGTCCTTCAGCTTACCCACAATTTATGCCAGGGATCCATGTGAGCACAGAATAAATCACCAGTTGATATAGTTAGGCTTCCTTTTTCCACCCAAATCTCATTTTGAATTTTAATCTTCATAAGCTCCATATTCCCCACCTGTGAAGGAAAAGACCAAGTGGAGGTAATTGAATCATGCGGGCAGTTTCCCCCACGCTGTTCTCCTGATAGTGAGTTCTCGCAAGATCTGATGGTTTTATAAGGGGGTCTTTCCCCTTGCTTAGTATTTCTCCTTCCTGATACCTTGTGAAGAAGATGCCTTGCTTCCCCTCCACCTTCTGCTATGATTGTAAGTTTCCTGAAGCCTTTCCCAGCCATGCTGAACTGTGAGTCTATTAAATCTCTTTCCTTTATAAATTACCTGGTCTCAGGCAGTTCTTTATAGCAGTATGAAAATGGACTAATACACCAGTGTACATTTTCTTTCTTTGGAAACTGCTTAATGCTTAAATAAGAGAAGGGGAGGCCAAATGACGGAAACTAGGAATTTCCAAGGTCAATTTATTCTTTCAAAAATAAGAATCATAATTGTTCACTTATTTGTAGGATACTTCTTATTCACGGTACACTAGATTGGGATTTATACAGATGAGTTAGACTAATTTAATTCAAGTACTCAAGGAATGTATAGTCTACTAGGGGCAATATACAAAGAGATCTAGAAAAGTTGATAATTTTATTTATAGTGGAAACAAGTGACATAAAATAATGATACTAAAATAACAGGTAGAATGTGTATGATTTAAAATCAAGGGCTCATTTTTTATAAGATGATGATGATGGATGCCAAAAACAAACAAAAAACCTTTAAGATTTCAGGTTGAGTAGTAGACAGACATGAAAATATGAAGGGAATAGCATTCCAAGCTATTTCATATGGGAAAGTAATTTGGAGGTAGGAGCTTGCTGTGTTGAGGAACTATATGTTCTTGTGGACACTCAAATTTTTATTCTGTTGCCTTACAAATATTTATTTCCATCATCAATGTCATTCCTTGCTTGTCAACCATATTACTTGTGAGTTTTTTACCTAAATCAGCTTTGGTTCCTTATACTCCCCTTGGACATGGTGTGTATTCCGAAGGAAAACCTGGTATTCCTGCAGATCTCACTGACATTTTGGCATGGAGACTTTTTTACTGGACCCTTTTTAGATTTTAAATTCACCTGCTATAATTCTGATTTTGAATTTAATTATGGAAACATAAGAGCTTTTCCTGTAAGTGTTCTTCTTTCCAGGAAAACTAAAATAAATAC
Source organism: Homo sapiens (assembly GCF_000001405.40). Lineage (NCBI taxonomy): Eukaryota > Metazoa > Chordata > Mammalia > Primates > Hominidae > Homo > Homo sapiens. Next base: position 92,606,053 of record NC_000004.12, read on the forward strand.
CAAAATTTGTTTTTGAAAATAAATTTACTCAGTTTTCCTGTTCTTCTAACACAGAGTAATTCACAGAGATATATTATTGAATCCTAAGAAAGAAACCTCATTTTGTGGCTTTTATAGTTTTCTGTACACTTGTACAAAAGAGCCTCATTTGATAAAGCCAATAGTAAGAGACATTTATTCATAACTTATCACATCCAATGAACTGTTGAAAATACTTTGTTTTCTCCTGATCTTTATACTGACTTATGAGGTATAAGGTAGTTACTATTCTTATTAGCGTTTTACAGATGAAGAAAATGAGCAACAGCTGGGTTAGGTTAACTTATTACACCTGGAACCTTTAGAATAGTGGCTAGAACACTAGTTTCGCTTTAAGTCTGCTGATTGGGAGGTTCAGGCATGTTTCAGTGAGAGGAAGAAGAAAGAAGGTAAGGCATTTATTTTCTGTCTTCTGTGTGTGGTTGTCTTAAGCTGACTGTACCTCAAACAAAATTGATGTATCTCTTGATGCATCCTGCTCTGTATCACTCTCTTGAAATTCACTGTCTTGTCCTTTATCCTTTGGGCCTGGAACTGGTACCACCTCACTGCTACTAGCTCTGGGTTTTTGCACTATTCCCCTTTCGTTGGCTGCACTCCACCCAGACCTGCGTAATTTAACCCATTGAAAAAGAAGCCCTACCTAAATTATCCTATTTTGAGTTGCCATTGTTTTCTATTGGAATTTTAACCAACATCATTATTTAACTCATATTTGTCTAATCTAATCAGAAAGTGTTACATCTTTGATTGTATTATAAAGTCAATCTATGTATCACATTACAAAACACAGTAAGGGTGCCTCACAAAGATTTCTAGCTTCTGTGCATTGCAAGATAAAATCTGTATGTTCATGGACACTTTAATGTTGCAGCAAAGGTCGACATGATGTTGGAGATACTGAGTGGCAGCACCCCTTCCAAAAGGCAGTAAGTCTGAGCAGAAACACAGCTATCTCCAAATTGCCAATACACAGCATAGTTGAGTGTCTGAACTTACTCATTTATGCCTGGTTGCAATTTTTTGAATTTTTGCAATCAGACCTTGGTAATTACCTTGAGCAGCAGGATATAAATAACTCCCACATGCTTAGCGTTCCAATAATGGAACACTAGGCATAAGTGGGTGAAGGAAACATCACTATTTTTAATTTAAATAATATGACAAATGAAATAAACACGAATGTTAATGCTGAAGTTATATATTTAAAATGTCTTCTTTTAAGCCTCTACTTTGGTTAAGGAAGTTGATGAATCAGTTATTCAAAAATTTCTTAATATTTTATTTTTTGTGATAAGAATTTTTCAGTGTTTTTCCTTTATTTCATTCTTTGTAGGAGCGTTATACTGTGTAAACTAGACTCATTATTAAGTTACTGGGGGTGGGGAAGAACCGCAAGTTACTGGTGAACATTTTTCATAGCCAAGATTTTCTTTTGCTTGGTAACTTTCTGTCACCTATTACCTAGAATAATAATGAGAAAGTAACGAGTTACAACAGACCTGTTTGCATCTCATATCTTTTTGTTTCCCAGACTTACTCATTAAATAAGTGCTAATGAACAGCAAATGGCCAAACACCAGGCAGTAGAGCAGGCAGAAGAGTAGGAAAGGTCTTACAAGATGTGATCAGTATAATAAGGTTCTCAACTCCATCACTAATTCAACATTGTTCAGCCTTTCAGCACAAGACACTGAGGTAGAATTAGCGAAGAATGTAGAGGTAACTTAGAAGCACTCTACCTCTTCCAAAGCTTTAAACTATGAATGAAGATGAAAAATGTGTGCGTAAACAATAGGATAACAAGGCAATATGTGTAAGTTCTGTGAAGGAGAAACAAAATACAAAGTTCAGTAGAAAAAGAGGTGACTTATAACTAAGGATGGCAAGTTGAGGGGGGAAGGAAAAAATTAATGAAAGGGAAAAGTAGTAAGCTCTGCTTTCCTTTCTGAAAGGAGAAAAAGTCTAAGCAACAGAATCAGGTATATTCAAAAATAAATCCTTGCGACTGATAGAAAAATGGGAGGTAGGGGCTGGAAGATATTGAGAATGTAAACATCATGCTGCAAGGACAGAAACAGTAACTTTTCTCTCAAGATCTGTGTCCTATTCCCAACTTCAAGGACACCTCTTTCCCAAACTAGTGGTGCAATAGTGAATTCAGCATGGAAAGACTCATGATTCAGCAAGTAAAATTGAAGACTAATAAAGACATTAATAAAGATATCAATCTTCATATACCAAAGTCTTATTATTTCTTTTAAAATGCAGCAAAAGTAATGAAAATGGTTTGAGTTCAAAGATGCCGCTTCAAAGGTACAATGCCTCCACTGTGTTTTAAGAGCAAGTGATATTTTAAAATAATTATTCTACATCTTCAATGGAGTAATTGCTTTTCACATTAAAGAAAGAGATAAGCGCCCAAGTTTTATAATATAAAAAGTGCTATGCATGTGTATTAACTAATTCTCTCAAAGGAGTTTTACTACACATTTGGCATTGTGTGCTATAACTCAGAGTGTCATGGTGCTGTGCTCTTACATGAAAACATGGATGGTTTCCTAACTGAGTTAGACAGAAGTAGATAAAGAATATCAATATCATGTACTGTGGTTCCTTTATATGCATAGTTTATGGTTACTATTTTTTTCATTAAGTGAGATAATGTTTTAACATAAGTATTTTTATTGGTCTGATTATTACAAGTGGCCATTGAGGTTTGTTTATTCTGAATAAAACAAGCTCTTCAATTTGTAAAAATTGGCCACTTTGTTAATCGTTCATTTATTCTTTCACCCAAATATATATTGAGAACTTATAATTTGCAAAATACTGTAAGTGCTAAATACCAAGGTGCATCAATGTGCTTTCTGGCTTCAAAAATTTGTTGTTTAGCAAATAAAAGACATAAATAACATTAATATAGATGTAAACAGTCATAATACAAAGTACAGTAAGTTATAAAGTTTTCATTAGTAAAGATGAAGTGTTAGAGGATTTTGAGAAGCACTGATGTTGGTATGCTTACTTTCTGTTCTTCACACACAGCTTGAAATACTTGTTTTTCCTTACATGCTTAGTGTATCCCCAATATTTGGTACCAAATATATAACAGTCTGCTCGAGGTTATTTAACATTATTTCAGTCTTGAGAGCCTTACTATGTGGTTAAGTTTTCATTAATTTAATTAATGTAACAAATATTTATCGAGTGTCTATGTGCCAAGTATTAGTCTAGGAATTCATGGTACCAGTGTAAAACACAATATCTTGCTCTCTGGGAATGTATATTCTAGTTGAAGAAAAAAAATAATAAAGACAATTCCAGATTGAAGAGTTAGTATTAAAAAAAATGAAGTAGCATACTAGGCATAATCATGATGATGGTGAGGTGCCATTTAAAATAAAGTGGTCAGGAAAATCGCTTTTTGAGAAGATGACTTTTGAGCAGAGACCTGAATGATGAAAGGGCAAAAGTGATGTGGCTCTCCAGTGGAAAGCAGAGTGTACAACAGTTACTGGAAATAATATATATTATATATATATAATAATAGTAGATCACTATAATTTTTCTTTCTTCTCGTGACCACATTAGTACCTTATTTCCATTTATCATGTAACTGTCATATCTTTGAGAATACCTTCTTCAATTATCTGACCACTACTTGCAGTCACTTATATTTTCACACCCTGCCTTGTTTTGAAAATTCATTTTTAAATCAAAATTACACATACTATAGATGCAGTTTATCTGCATATTTGATTTTATTTAGAAACTCTGATCTTGAAAAGAGAGCCAGTGTATCTGTTAATTAGGCATAATCTCTTTACTATTGAAAATGTATGTGGATTATCACTATTATCTGTTACCATAATTTAATAAACTTTTCATCCACAATGTTAAACTATTCAAAAGAGTCCCTTACCCTCTTCTACAGTAGCAGAGTTTTAGCTGGGTTTATGGTCCCCCAAATAAGATTACATTTCATACCTTTCCTTGATCCTATACAGAGGGCCAATGGAATGTGAACAGAGGTGTGGACAACTTCCAAGTCATTCCAACTTAAACACAAGCTCTTTGCCTTAGACTGACACCCCCTTTCAATGACCTGGAATATTTACGTTGCTGGGACCCAGGTTTTACCAGGCAGATGGGGACAATGCATTAGGGGATGACTGAGCAACAAGATAGGAGGAACATGATTCTCCTGTAGAGAAGAGTTGCCCTGGCTGGACTGCTATGAGTAAGAGAAAGGCATCTCTGTCTTATTTAATACCCACTTTATGTGTGTGATATTGTTCCACTTTTAACCCTAAACATAACGATCATACCTGTCTCTAAATATTTCACTACATGTAACAGAAGTATCATTCTGCCCACCTTAGTAAGGATATCCAATTCTGAGAACTCAGATGCTCCACTTCTGTTTTTTACCATTTTCTTCTTTTCCTTTCCCTTCCCCCTCCTTTTCCACTTCCTCGTCCTTCACGCTGTACTGAGACATCATTTAGTTCATCTTATTAAAATGTACAATTAAACTATTAATAGTAAGTTTACAGAGTTATATGGCCATCACCAAAATCCATTTGTAGAACTTTTCCATCACCCAACAAGCTCTCTCAAGTCCAATCAATTGACAGTTCCATACTACCTTCAAGCCAACCACGAATTGTTTCTATAGATTAGCCTCTTCTGGGCATTTCATTAAATGGAATTAGATAATACAAAATCTTTTGTGTCTGGCATCTTAGAATGAGTTTTTGATGTTTATCTATGTTGTAGCAAGTGACAAGATTTTTTTCTTTTAATGATGAATAGTGTTCTATTATAGGGATATATCATTTTGTTTTTCCAGTCAATAATTGAAGAAACTTAGTTTCCAGCTTCTCTTAGGAAAAGTGCTGTAATGAATATTTATTGAATAGTCTGTGTGTGTGTGTGTGTGTGTGTGTAGCTGTATATATATATGTGTGTGTGTATATATATATGTGTGTATATATATGTGTGTGTGTATATGTGTGTGTATGTGTGTGTGTGTGCATGTGTGTGTGTGCATGTGTGTGTGTGTGTGTGTGTTTTAGCCTGCTTAGGCTGCATAATAAAATACAACAGACTGGGTGTCTTAAACAACAGAAATTTATTTTCTTACAGTTCTGGAGTCTGAGAAGTCCAAGATCAAGGTGCCAGCCAGGTTGAAGTCTGTTGAGGACTCTCCACTTAGGTTTCAGAGGGCCACCCTCTTTATATGTACTCATATGATCTCTTCTTTGTGTGTGCATGAAAACAGAGTGTGCTCAAGCCCTCTGATTTCTCTGCATAGAAAGACACTAATCCTATCAGATAAGGACTCCATCCTTATGCCGTCATTTAACCTTAATTACCTCCTTAGAGGCCCTGTATTAAAATTAATCCACACTGAGCATTAGTGTTCAACATATGAACTTTTGAGGGGACACAAACATTCAGTCATAGCATCTTACTAGGGTAGATATTTAGGGAGAAATTGCTCAGTTTTATGATACATTAATGTTTACCTTCTTATGTAACTGGACAGCTGTGTACTATTTCACATTCCCACCAATTTCTTCACATTTTTGCCACTTTTGTAAAATACGTGAAGTGGTATCTGATTATTGTTTTACTTTGTATTTCTCTAATGATTAGTGACATTGAGTATCTTTTTACTGACATCTGTGTATTTTCTTTGATGAAGTGCTTGTTCCAATCATGCATACATATTTATTTGAGGTTTTTTGACAATCTTATTTATTTTGAAGTATTCCTTTATAATCTTGATAAGAGTTTTTTTTTAATCAGATACATGTTTGCAAGTATCTTCTACTAGTCCATGATTTTCCCCCCTATTTTCTTAGTGGAGTATTTTAAAATGCAAATTAAAAATTTTGCTGCAGTTATTTTTTAAACTTATGTGTTTAGCTTTGATATTGTATCTAAGAATATATTCCAAGGTCATTAAGATTTTTTTTCATGTCTTCTAGAAAATGCCTATATTTAACTTTTATATGTAAGTCTATCCGTTATTTTGTGTTTGTGTTTGAGTATGGTATGAGGCACTGTTTTGGCATGGGGAAATCCAATTTAACCTGAACTATTTCTTAGAAAGGTTATCCTTTCCCCTGTTGAATTATTTTGGCACTTTTGTTGATAGTATGTTGACCATGAATATAGGAGTCTATTTCAGAATACTCGTGTCTTCCATTGATCTAAATTCCTGTCTTTATGCTAGTACCATATTGTAGCTTTATGGCAAGTTTTGAAATCTTGAACTGTAAGTTTTCCAACACTTTTTTTCTTTCTACCGACTTATTTTTGGTTATTGAGTTCTCCTTGTTTTCATATAAATATTGGTGTCAGCTTGCCAGTTGCTGCAAAATAGCATGCTGGGAAATTAGTAACAATTCTGTTGAATGTATAAATCAATTTGGGGATGATTACCATCTTAACAATATTGAGTATTTCAATTTATGAATTTAGAATACATATCCACCTATTTATATCTGCTTTAATTTCTATGCAGAAAGATTTTTTTGGCTTTCATTATACAAATCTTGCTCTTCTATTAGGTTATCTTAGGATTTTATTCATTTTGATATTGTGAACGGAATCATTTCTTGTAGTTATATTGTTCTTGCTAATGAATAAACTCTATTTTTTGTATTTTGATCTGAAAACTTATGGCCATGAGGAACTCAATTGTTTGTTAAAGTTTTTGTGGATCTGTCAGGATTTTCTGCAAGTAGGATCATGTTATGCAAATAAATACATTTACAGTCCTTCCTTTTAAATCTAGATGCCTTTTCTTTCTTTTATCATTTTTTGGTTGCAGTGGCTTGAACCTCCAGAACAATGGTGAATGGAATTTTGAAAGTAAAAACCATTTCCTGTTTCTAATATTAGGTAGCAAGCATTTAGCCATTGAGCTTTAAATATGATGTTAGCTGTATATTTTCCAAAGATGCTATTTATCATGTTGAAGAAATTTCCTAATACTCATAGTTTGTTGAGGGTTTCTAATCATAATTGATGCTGAGTTTTTTGAAATACTTTACTTGCTCATTGAGGTGATCATGTGGTTTTTATCCTTTATTCTGTTGAGATGGTATGTTGCATTAATTGATTTTCAGATGTTCAGCCAAATTTGCATTCCTGGGATAAGTCTTTAAAGGTTATGGAGTAAAATATTTTTTACATATTACTGAATTTAGTTTGCCAATATTTTGTTAAGGACTCATGAATCTGTATTCATGAGATATATTGATCTGTGATATTCTCTTCTTGTGATGTTTTAGTATTTCTTTGGTATTTTAATAATGACTTCAAAATAACTTGGGAAGTCTGCCTTTCCCTTTTGTTTTCTAGAAGGCTTTGTGAAGGATTGGTATTATTCCTTCTTTAAATGTTTGATAGAAGTTAGCAGTATGTTCTGAAGACTTTTTGCAATAAGATTTTGCATTATTCAATTATTTACTTGCTTTGATCTATTCAGATTTTTCTCATCGCTGAGTGAGTTTGATACTTTGTGTCTTTCTAGGAATTTGTCTATTTTATCTGCTCTGCTAACATGAAGTTGTTGATAATTTTTTTTATAATCCTGTCTTGTTGGTAGAGAGGTTCTCTTTCATTCCAGATTTTGGCAATCTGTACCTTCTTTAAATTTTTGTCAGTCTAGCAAATGAATCAACTTTTGATTGTAGTGATTTTTCTCCTTTGTGTTTCTTTTTTATTTCACTGATTTTGCTCTTTATTATTTCCTTACTTCTGTTTAATTTGTGTTATTTTTGTTTTTTAAACTTTTTTACTTGGCACATGATAATTCTGCATATTTATGTGATACATAGTGATGTTGAGATACATATAATATATAGTGATTATATCAGGGTTATTATCATATCCATCACTTCAAACAGTTGTTTTTCTGTGTTTGTTGGTGCATTCCATATCCTCCTTCTAGCTATTTGAAACCATATATTATTATTAACTATAGTCATCCTACAGTGCTATAGAACACTGGAACTTATTCATTTTATCTAGCTGTAATTACGTGTGCTTTGACAAATTTCTTCCTATCCTGCCTCCTCTCTACACGTTCCAGCTGCCAGCATCCTCAGTTCTACTTTATGCTTCCATGAGACCAGTTTTCTTTTAGCTTCCAAATATGAATGAGAACTATTTGCTTTTTTTCTGTCTTAAGTTAGCAACTTAGGTTATTGACTTAGGATATTTTTTTCTTTTCCAATAAAGTCGTTTAAAGCCATAATTTTGCGGTTAACACTGCTTTACCTGATTGCTATAAATGTAAACATGTTGTATTTCTGCTTTTATTCAGTTCAACAATTTTTTTTCCAATTTTGTCTTGTAATTTATTTCACCAATGGGTGCATTGTTTAATTTCTGAATATTTGTGGACTTCTCAAATTTCTGTATCTTTATTTCTGTTTTTTCCCTATGTGACCAGATAGAATACTGTATGATTTCAATCATTCTTGATTCATTGACACTTACTCTATAGTCCAGTGTATTCTATTCTGGAGTATATTCATGTGTGCTTGATAGAATGTGTATTTGCTATTATTGGGTAGAGTGTACTACAGATGACAGGTCAAATTTGTTGATAGACTTGTTCTGGTATTGTCTTTCCTTGCTGATTTCTTACCTATTAATAACTGAAAGCAAGTATTAAAATCAATAGCATTTTATTATTGAATTCCCTAGTCTATCTTTGATTCTGTCATCTAGATTTGCCTCGCATATTTAGGTCTCAGTTTCAGGTATTTACATGTTTAGAATTATTATATTTTACTGATGAATTTAGTCTTTTATACTTTGCTATGTTTTTTTTTTTTCTTTTAGTAACCTCATTTACCTTAAAACTTATTTTATCTGCTGTTAATTATCTTAGTCTGGTCAGGCTACCAAAAACCAAATACCATAAACAGGGTGGCTTAAACAATAGTAATATATTTCTTAAAAGTCTGGAGACTAAAAGTCCAAGAACAATGTGCCAACAGTTCCAGTGCCTGGTAAGGGCTTTCTCCTTGGGTTGCAAATGCCTGCCTTCTCACTGTATCCTAACATGGTCTTTCTTTGATACATACCGAGGTGGGGTGGGGCAGGGAGAAACACAAAGCATGAAAACCCAAAGGATCAAGCTCTCTGAGGCCTTTTCTTCTAAGGACACTAATCCCATCATGAGGGCTCTGCCTATTGACCTCATCTAAATCCAATTACCTCTGAAAGACACCATCTTCAAAAACCCATCACATTGAAGCTTAGGGCTTCAACATATAAATTTGAGAGGAAACAATTCAGTTCATAATATCAGTGTAGCTACACTAATTCTTTTATGGTTACCATTGCATGCAGTTCATCGTTATACCATCCACCTATTTGTATTTGTGTTTTAAAGTGTTTCTCTTACAGACAGCATAAGATTAGATCTTTTTTCTTAATCCAGTCTCAAAATTTATGCCATTTACTATAGGTGTTTAAATTATTTATATTATTGTAATATTTCATATCATTGGATTTTTGCCTGAATTGTGCTTTTTATTGCTATACCTCATCATATTATTCTGGCTATTCTTTTTTACTGTGATCTTTTTGTTAAATATATAAATTGAAATGTGTCATTTTAATTCCTTATTAGTTTTTGTACTATATATTTATGAATTATTTTCTATTTGTGCTAGGTATACAATATGTGCCTTAATGTATCACAGTCTACTTCAGGTTAATATTAACTTGATTCCAGTAAGATATACAATATTGCTCGAATAACTTCTACCCACTGTTGTTATTTCTACTCACTGTTATTATGCTGTTATTGTCTTTATATGTTGTATGTTCAACAACACAGTTTTGTAATTGTGATTTATGCATTTCTTTTAAATCAGTTAAAGAAAAGAGAAAATAAACTATGTACACTATCTTCATATTTGCCCACATAATTATCTTTTCCATTTCTTTCATTTGTTTGAGTGGATTCAAATTAGTGTCTGATTTCATTTCCTTTCAGAATGAGTGCTGCTGTAGTGTTTATTGGAAGAAAAATCTGCTAGCAATAGATTCTCTCAGTATTTTAAAATGTGGTAATATTGTGATTTCACCTTCAATTTTGAAGGATAGTTTTCCTGGATGTAGGATTCTTGGTTGACAGATTTTTTTTTTATTTGTTTAAGCAGTGTCTTTCCACTGCCTTCTGGCCTCCTTTGTTTCTTGTAAAACATCAGCTGCTAATTTATTATGGTTTCATTGTAACTGATGAGTTACATTTCTCTTGTTTCCTTTAAGTTTTTTTCTTTGGCCCTGTCTGTCAGTAGTTTGACTATGATCTGTCTAGGAATGGATGCCTTCAGGTTTCTGCTAACTAGATTCATTGAACTTATTGAATATATGAATTTAATACTAGCTTCTTGAAATTTGGGGAAATTTTTACCCATAATTTCTTTAGATTTTTCCCCTCTTTCAGAGACTCTTATTACATCATTATTACATATGTGTGTTTTTGTTATTATATATGTTTTGTTTTTGTTCTTTGTTTTTTTCCTCAAAGAAAAAAACCAGTTGTTAGACTTAGCATACAGTGTTCCTGTATTTGTTGACTACAGGGACATTGAATTTCTTCCTTGTATTTATTGATATCTGGGAGTATTTAGATAATATATTATAGCATATTAGGTTTGCAATCCTTTGATATTTGTTAATATTTTTGTTTGCTTTTTTGATTGCTGTTTTTTTCTAGAGAATCATTCTCTGCTAAATCTTTTGTGCATTTTTGGCAGTCTTTTAAGATGCTTAAACTTGGCCCATAATAATGGCATATATTTATGGGGTACCTAGTAGTGTTGTGTGATACATATAATGTATAGTGATTATATACACTAATGTATAGATCAGGGTGATTAGCATATCCATCATTTCAAAACTTTATTATTTGTTTATGTTGGGAACATTCAATATCCTCTCTCTCGTTATTTGAAACTATATAATATATAGTTTCAAACTATATATATCCTACAGTGCTATAGTACACAAGAATTTGTTCCTATCTAGCTCTAATTTTGTGTCTGTGTACCCTTACTACCCTCTAGTATCCTCAGTTCTACTTTTGTTTTTTAAAGGATCTAGCATGCAAGTACAGATTGTGCAGGTTTGTTACATAGGTATACATATGCCATGGTGGTTTGCTGCACCTATCAACCCGTCATCTAGCTTTTAAGCCCCGCATGTATTAGGTATTTGTCCTAATGCTCTCCCTCCACTTGTCCCCCATCCCCGACAGGCCCTGCTGTGTGATGCTACTTTTTACTTCCATTATATAAATTATTTTTGGCTTTCATATATGAGTGAGAACATGCAGTGTTTTACTTCTGTTCTTGGCTTATTTCACTTAATGTCCTCTAGTTTCATCCATGTTGCTATAAATGACAGGATATCATTCTTTGTTATGTCTGCATGGTAATGTATTGTGTACCACATTTTTTATCCAGTAATCTGTTGCTAGATTCCTTGGTTTGTTTCATTTCCTTCCTTTTCTCTACATCCCGGCCAGCATTTTTTATTTTTTGTTATTTTGATAATAGCCATTAAAACTACAGTATGATACAACATCATTATGGTTTTCATTTTAATTTCCCTGATGATTAGTGATAGTGAGCATTTTTTTGTATACTTGCTAGACATTTATATGTCTTCTTTGAAGAAATGTCTATTGAGGTCATTTGCCCTTTTCTTAATTAGACGATTTTGTGTTGTTGTTGTTGTTGTTGAGAAATTTGAGTTTCTTTTATAGTCTAGATATTAATCCCCTGTTGAATGAGTAGTGTGCAAATATTTTCTTCCATTCTATAGGTTGTCTTTTTATGCTGTTAATTGTTTCCTTTGCAGTGTAGAAGCTTTTAGGTTTGACATAATCTCACTTGTTTATTTTTGTGTTGTTGCCGGCGTTTTGAAGTCTTCCTCATAAAATATTTTCTCAAATCAATGTCCTGAAATATTTTTCTTATGTTTTCTTCTAAAAATTATATATTTTCTAGTCTTACATTTAGATCTTTGATCTATTTTATTTCTGCATAGTGTGAAAGGTGGAGGATCTAGTTTTATTTTTCTGCCTATGGATATCCAGTTTTCCTAGCACCATTTATTGAAGAGATTGTCTCTGCCTTAATGTATGTTCTGGATGCCTTTTTCAAAAATCAGTTGGCTGTAGATGTATGGATTAATTTCTGGGTTCTCTTTTCTGTTTAATTGGTCTATATTTCTGTTCTTACGAAAGCACCCTGCTGTTTTGGTTACTACAGCTTTGTAGCACATTTTGAAGTTTGATAGTGTGACACCTTCAGCTTTGTTCATTTTGCTTAAGATTGCTTTGGCTATATAGATCCTTTTGTGGTTTCATACAAAGTTTAGAGATTTTTTTCCAATTCTGTGAAGAATGTCATGAATAAGAGTTGCATTGAATCTATAGGTTGCTTTGGGAAATATGGTCATTTTAGCAATATTAACTCTTCCTATCCATAAGTATGGGATGCTTTTCCATTTGTTTCTGTTATTTTGGGTTTCTTTCATCAGCATTTTGTTGTTTTCTTTGTAGGGATCATTCATCTCCTTGGCCAAATACTATACACTTCATTGAATAAATACTTACTATTCCGAGGTAATTTATTACTTTTGTATCTCCTGTTAGTGGGATTATGGTTTTTATTTATTTTTCAGGTAATTTATTGTCTGTGTACAGAAAGACTACTGATTTTTGAATGTTGATATTCTATCCTGAAACTTTTTGAATTTGTTTAGCAGTTCTGAGAGATTTTGTGTAGTCCTTACATTTTTCTAGATCCTGTCTTCTGAGAGTGGGGACAATATGGCTTCCTCCTTTCCAATTTGGATGCCGTTTATTGCTTTCTCTCTGATATCTCTGTTTAGTTTTTGTTTGAATTTGTCTTTGTTTTTTTAAGCCTGGATATCTAGGAGTTGCTTTTGAGTCACTATAGCTTAATGGTCAGCCAAGGATTATTCAGAGCTTGTGTTTACGTAGTATGAGTAAATTTTCCACTCTTTGCTGATAGGTCAGTGGAGAAACTTATTTAAAGTTCAGGCACTATGTTGGCATGCCTTGGCTTTGCATTTTGATAATTCTATTTGTGTTTCTTCTGTGACAGTGCAAGGTCTTATGTTGGAGAAGCAATATGTAGGCAGCTAGAGCCCTCTCCAGTATTTCCTGAGCATATGCATAACTTTGCTAATATATGCAGCTTCCCAGACCAGGAGGGGCTTATAGAGTTTATCAAGGACCACTGTGTTGCTGTCTCATTCCTCAGATCTTGTAAAATTTCTGACTAGTATTCTAATCTGTTGCTTGACCAAGCTTGTATTGCAACCTCAGGTTTGTTGAGATGTTGGCCTTCCTTGATTTTTTTAAATACCAAAACTGTTATCATTTTTGGCAATTCCCTGAGTATTGTTTTCTCTACACACCATTCCAAATCAAATCAGCTCCCCTCCCAACCCCGGCATGGAAGCTGTTGGTTTTTATGGCTTTCAATGCCATGCTAAAATTCAGTGTCATGCTAAAATGACACAGACACACTCTTCTTATGTGATGTTCAGTATTTTCAGTATTTGCTATTAAATAAGTGATTTCCAATTTGTTGTATGTCTTTGTTTTTTTGTTTGTTTTTAGAATCCTTAAATAGTTTCACACATGAGTTTTATTTAGTTTTATCATTGCCTTTAAGGAGATTTGCTGAGCTCCTTATTTGGCCATTTGCGAAGTTACACATGCCTTTTTTTTTCCCCCACAGGAGGGATAGAGAAATTTAGACCATGTGATTCAGTTTTTATGGAATAAGTGTCATTGTAGGTGCATCATGAATTATAGGCAATATATGAAATTTACTTTTCATGGTAATTCTGATGAAAAGAAGAATGTCAGAAATGTGGATTATGGGTAGATAACAGCCAATAGTGTGGTTAGTCTGGAATACTATCTATTTTGAGGACCAGATAAGACTGGCATGGGAGATTGAAATGAGCTAGTAAAAGATTTTGAATGTGAAACTAAGGTTTCTAAATTAATATCTTTAGGTAATATCAAAGAGTGGAATGGTTTGAGTGATGGAATGACATGATTTATAGATGTGCTTCAGGGAAAAGAAAATAGCTGCCTACAATGTAAGTGATGGATTAAGGGTCAAAAAACTGAAATAAAACCAGTCAGCAGTCTTGTAATAGTCCAAATGGAAACTAATAAAGTCTCAGGATAGTTATTATCAGAAGGGAAAAAAGTAAGCTACTATGAAGCTATGTTACAGGAGGTCTTGGGAAGGACTTGAATAACTTATTATATATCTGGGACCAGTAAAAGAGAGACTCAAAGAACGCTTCTAGCATTTGGCATTTGGTAACTGGACAAGTATACAATTAGCACAAATAAAGAACATAGAAGGAAAGACAGATATAGGGAAATAATTGTAAATGGTAGTTCATATTTATTGAATTGTTACTATAATTAGATATAGTTATGAGTTTTATGTAAATTATTAGTTACTCCTTACATAACACTTTGCATATAATAGGAAACAAAGGGAGCCAGATTAGTCAACTGTACCAAAATAAAATAGCTAATATATGACAGTATTAGGACACAGGAAGTGGAACATCACACACCGGGGACTGTTGTGGGGTGGGGGGAGTGGGGAGGGATAGCATTAGGAGATATACCTAATGCTAAATGATGAGTTAATGGGTGCAGCATACCAACATGACACATGTATACATATGTAACAAACCTGCATATTGTGCACATGTACCCTAAAACTTAAAGTATAATAATAATAATAATAATGAAGACACATTAGCTAGAGGAACAAAATAAAGAATGCCAAAAAAAAAAAAAAAAGAATTTTAACCCAGGCATTCTCAGATCAGAGCTGAGATTTTTTTCTGACTTTTAAGTTGAGGGGTACATGTGCAAGATGCACAGGCTTGTTACATAGGTAAACATGTGTCATGGTGAATTGCTGCACAGACCATCCCATCACTCAGATTTTAAACCCAGCATCCATTAGCTATTCTTCCTGATGTTAGATTAGAGCTGAGATTTTAACCCCTGTCTGAATATAGGTCTCAGGACACATTTAGAAAAGGAAAGATGAAGTGATGGTTTAAGATTTTATTGTCTGAGGGTGAAAAGTTAAAATTGTGATATTGGACAAGATTGTCAAAGATAAACATATGAGAGAAGAGAAACTCATTGGCAACTATTTACATTTTGTGGGAAAAAAAGTTTAAAATTAAAAGATGAACCAGTGCAAAATATTATCTCTAAGGAAAAATGATTATTTTGGTGTGGTTATTTTAACTGTGATGGGATGTTGCTTGGATCAGGTGTATAAAAACTCCATAGATGAATAGTTGGTGCATACCTATAGTCCCAGCTATAGGAAGCTGAGGTGGGAGGATTGTATGACCCCAAGAGTTCAAGGATGCAGTAAACTATATTACATCACTGCACTTAGCGCAGGGCAAAAAGCGAGACATCATCTCTTAAAAAAATCCATAAATTCCAGAGATAAGGAACCAAGTAATTAAATTATGGAGAGAATTTTCATTATGGTAGTAGTGGTTTTAAAAGAAGAGCAGTACCAGCAGTAAGGAGTGAGTGGATGGAAAGGATTAAATACTGTAAGTAGAATTTTTCTTCAAAGTTTGATAATGATGAAGGTAAATACATAAGAATAGCTAGAGTTTGGTGAAACATGAAACACACAGAAATTTTCTGAAGAAAGAGAAAAAATTCGAAGAGAGAGAGATTATGATGACAGTTTGGTTTAGAAAGGAGCTAAAGAGGAGAAATTTGTTAAACATTGAACTATTGAGCTAATAGAACAATCATGTTTGTTATTAGTGAAGAGGAAAATGGAAATTCATGTGGAGTGGTTATAATAATCTCAGTAATAATTGAGGCAATGTGGAAGTACAGTGCAGAGTGAAAAAGATTTGAAAATGCTACTGGGGAGAGTCAATTAGAGATGATGGATAATATTTCTGAGTCATAGTAAGAATTAACCTGAGATTTCATAGCAAGAATCTGTAAGAGATTTTATAATAACCATTTCATATTTTCCTGTAATATTAGGAATGCCAATACTAAAAAGGTCACAATTTTAGATATGGATGTTGCTTTACTGTTTTCATGGTTAGGCATTATTTTCTGAATTTTCTTATAACTTTAAGAACTCTTGAGTGAATGAGTCTTCAGAAAGAAAAAAATTCTCTTGGAGTGGATGCTCTTTCCCGACTCTCCTAATATATGTTAAGGAGATTTTAGGAGGATATTTTAAGAGATTTGGTAATATTTCTGTACAAGAGAGTAATAAGAATGAGGGGAAAATTAAGTGGTTTAACATTTTTGGAATAATACTATTTTTTCCCCTTGGGATTTCCCAAAATACACTTGTTCAAAGTGAACATCAGTCCCTCATTTTTAAAAAAGATTTCCTAAAGATATTTAAGAGGTTTTATTTATCAGATAGCATTGATAGAGTGTATTATTTACCACTTGGTCTGGATCAGTCATCGTCATCATCTTAATGGTAAAGTGGAGAGTGCATCAAATTTTGAGTCTAAAGCATTAGCTTCATTCCTGCCTCTGACTCTTAGGAAATTTATCTAAGTACATATTCCTGAGCTGTAAAATGGGGATAAAAATACCTAAATGACTTCACAGGTTTATTGTAATATCCAATAGGTGATAGATTGGAAAGTCTATGTGAATTATTAAGTCATGGCATTTGTTTTTAAATGCCATATTTATCAACAAGCAGGCCCATGCTAGGCTGAAGCTGAAGCTTCTGTGTCTTCCAAAAACATTTTGTTAGTTTAAATAAGGTTCATCACTATTGGGAATCTTTTGAAGATGAAAAACTTGTTTTCTAGAATTAATATTTAAATCAACTTTAAATTGGTCTATAAAAAACTAATAAAATTTCAAAGATTTCAGGCTGATTATCTTTCATTATAAAAATATTTTAAAATAGTTATTTTATAAAAAACATTCACCTGCATTAGTTTATGTACATCAAGGCAATATGTTCAATTAATATTGTATTCAATAGAATAAGTACTTTGTATTCTTCATATGATTAGAAAGTTCTGTACTAGCATCTGAACTATAAATAAATAAATCTTAGGATATATATATGACCTGCTTATCCTCAGTGTAACCCTGCGACACAAGGATAAGTAAGTACAAAAAAAAAAAGATTAATACCATCAAAAAAATCACTCTCTGGACTGGCTAATAAAAGTGATTCATCCAAGATACATGAAACAAAGCCATAATATTTACTTAATTATTAACTGAAAACTATATGTAAGCACAGAGCTAAGTTCTGAAAATATGAAGTTCTCCATCTGTGATCATGTGTGCAATAAGAATTTGAGTGGAATAAAATGTGTGTATCTTGGTAGTCAGAGACAGTAGTGGCATGTGTTCATGGCAAAACAGCTTGAAGAAGAAATTTATTCTGTTAATGTAAGCAAGATTTATTTATTTTTATTTCTGCTATGATTATCCTGGAGAAATTACCACAGTAAAAGCTGTGGCACCGCTAACACCCACAGTCATGTTCCTTCTGTTTATGTGAAAGGCAGAACCATTGAGTTGGAACTCAAGTTTTTACTTGAATGTATTATTCAAAAAAACTTTATGAATGTAACTGATATTTTATACCATATTCTATAAGATTATAATTTTTGGCAGTTTTTTCAAAACATGCTATATAAAAGGTTAGTCTGCAGTCCCTACACCTAACACACATATACACACAATGACATAAACATATCCGGTAAAGCTACTTCCTAGAATTTACTATGTTAAGCATCATTGATTGTGGTATTATAGACTGCAGAACATACTGTAGATAATTATTCTTTTCTACTTTCAATTCAATAAGGTAGCACAGCAGCAACATCATCACAATATTCAGCATTAATTAAATAAATTATGTTCCATGTCTTATTCTACATTCTTCATATGTATTAACTCATTCAATCCTTACAGTCCTATGACGTAGTGTTTTAATTATCCAAAGTATACACAAGAAACTTAAGGCACACAGAGGTGGAGTAAAGTGGCACAAACAATCTTATTAAGTATAAGAGAGGAACTCGGGCAGTCTGGCTCCAAAGCTGCGCTCACAACAACATGCTATGAGTGATTTCTCATAGCTTTATTATCTACTTTTAGTTCATAGCATTTGCAGTTATTGATCCATGGTGTTTTCTCAAATGACAAAATAGTATAAGATTCTGTTTTGATCACTGGATGTAAAGTGATTGTGGTTAGCATGTTGTGTCTTTTGATTGGACAAGCTATAACAGCCAAATATCTCTTGATGGAATGCTCGTATTGAATTTCTCATCAAAATATTTTTTTCCAAATTAGTTTTGAGGTATAGATTTGCTATCAGGAAGTCATATGAGATAACATTACATTTAAACTTTTCCTTTCAGAGTTTCTCTCAGTAAATTCGAATGTTTGAAAACAAGGCCACTGTGAACCATTTAAGAATCTTCAACCAAAGGAAAAAAAAGGTTAAAATATCCCCATACTCTTGTTTTCAGCAATAATAGAGAATATTTTCACCTTTCAAGTACAGACTAAATATTGATTTATACATACAGAAACCTACTATGAATGAGATTATTTTATTAAAAAGGAAAAAAATTTGAAGAGTATAAATACAATCTGAAAGGTTAAAAAAGAGGTAATACTAAGAAGAATTCAGTTTGATAAAGACATATTGTGATTTCCTCTGGTTACTTTATCGCCTTAATAGTTCAGACTAAGAAAGTCACTAAATTTTTCAAGTTAACTTAAATTTTTGGTGGTATACCTTTTTAGAGTAATTCATTTTCTCACTGTGATAATATCTTTATATGCTAAAAAGCCTGAAAGTATATTTTTGTTTAATGTTCCTGCCATCATTTAGGAGAGAAATATTCAGTATTTTTATATACTGAAAGTTATCTTGATTCCTGAGAGCTTACATTATTAAATCTTAGAATGCTTGACTATATTAATTTTTTCTTTAATTTAAAAGTTTTTCACATTAATTTTTCAATTAAATGGTTAATTTGCAATTTCATGATACTCAAGAAATAATTGTCTAATAGGATTGTGCTATCACAAAATCTTAGAGCTAGAAGATCCTCAGAGATTAATCTAGCTTAAATCACTAATTTTACACTTGAGGAAAATGAGGTCTGAGAAAATATGTGAGTCACTGAAGATCAAGTAGATAATTAGAGGCAAAAGTAGAAAGAGAGTCTTCAGACTATTGCCTCTAAGTAAGGGATATTTGAATTGGAACCAGGGAAATAGTGTTTCGATTTATACTATGAGATAGTAATACACAGTGGTTAGGGCACAGGCTTTATATCAAGAAAGCCTGCATTTAAAAAAACCCAACCAATCACTTATTAACTTTATGAACTTGACAAAATTTTTCAGCCCTAGATTTTTTATCTGTAAATTGAAAATAACAATATTAGTTACCTCAGGAGTCTATTGTGACAATCAAGTGGGCTAATAAATGTAAAGCATTTACAACGATGTCTGGTACAAAGTGATTCTTATGCTAGCCTATATTATTGTAAAATTGCGACTGTTTCTCATCTCCAATGCAATATAAATCTGTTGGAGGAATGTTTGAAAAATACAAAAAATCAGAAATAAAATAGATAATTGATAATACCTAAAACGATTAGCCATGTACTTCAAGATTTTTTTATTTGAATCTTTTATTCTGTGTACATTTTGCTTTTTCACTTACATTTTAAAATTCTGTTTTACAGGATTATACTTAGAGATCTGATTTTTGGCATCAGGGAAGTCTAGATATCCTAATTTTCACTTGCTACAAAATACCTAAAATACTGCATAAAATACAAAAATAATATTTTTGATGCATTGATGAGCTTTCAGCAAAATAAGTAACTCAATCACTCATTTAAGTCCAACACCAAGCCATATGACAAATGAAGATAGTATTAATCCTGAAGATGTCACTTAGCATGGGGGTATCTATAATCAGAACCTGAGTGGCCTAGAGATTTTTAAATATTGTGGTAAGAGCATCACACAAAATGTAACCTTTAACAAGGTTTTAATCATTAAGTATAATATTGTTAATGTAAAGCTTTTCATGGACCTTTGCAATGCGTATGGAAAAGAGATTTGGGCCCATGGGTGGTTGGGGTTTTCTCTCAGGTTGTGTAATCTTGAATGCACAAAGGACTATCAGTAGGAGTAAGTTTAAAACGAAAAACACAAAAACACCAAACAACATAGCGATTAAAGGGGAAGTGGGGAGTATGAAATTTGTCTCAGCCTTGACTTTAGATGGAGTGTGGAGAAAAATCTCTTCTGAGAATTTATTGTATGAGAAGGCTGTCATGTGGAAGTGGAGCCTTAGCACATGTTATTTGTATAGTGCAGAGGAAATAAACCTAGATTAAGTTTAAAATGGACTCAGGGCTTTCCCAAGTATTTTACAAAAACATATGTAAAATCTTCCTTGAGTGTTATATCTTCAACCCATGCATTTTATGATTCTCACAGAGAAGATACCACAACATAAGCAAAATCACAAAACAATTATCAAATACACAAGGGATCAAGGGACCATGGGTGAGAGACAGCAGACAAAAATGAGAAGCAAAGTATAAAATAGGTATGGTTAATTTGTTTAAACAAATAAGACAGAGTCAAATCATTAATAAAAGCAAAATACATTCACAAACAACCAGCCAGAATCAGGAGAAAAGGGAAACATAAAACAAAACACATGAAGAAAACAGAGAACAACTGGAAATAGGAAATATAATAACTAAGGTAAAAACTCACTGGAAAGTTAGCAGAATAAGCACAGCTGAAGAGAACCATAGTGATCAGAAGACTGATATGAAGACATTTTGCAGAATCAACAATAGAGCATTAAACATACTTTAAAAATTAGATACAGGTTATAAGACATGAGAGATTATCAAGGACCTAGAGATCTATAGTATACGTATGGAATGGGCAACAAACAGTATTTTAGGAGGCAGTGGATGTTAGCATCTGGTAGCAGGGAGAATGAAGGAAGCTAAGGGTCCAATTTCATAGTAGACTTTAGCTTACATTCTCTATTTTTAACTTAAATCTCTCCGTTTTTACCTACTTGTTCCTGTTTTCCAGTGATGTGCTAATTAATGTTGGTTCGCTGAACAAAAACATAACTTAAAATGTAGGTGTATATGTTATATATATGTGTTTATTGTAAATTTTTCTAATATAAAAGAAGTGTAACAAATAATATTTTACTGTTATTAGTAAATTATTAGCTGAGTGTACATTCTCTATAGCCAATTGATTCTCACAGAATGCTTTCACTGATTTTTGCTAACTTCTTATATCCATAGCCAACATATTTGTGCAATTTAATAATAATTTGGCCATTGGTGATGCATCCCAGCCCACTAATTCTTTATACAATAAAATTATGAAAATTTCTTCTGATATGTTTTCTACTGTTAAACTATTTCTCATTCTTCTAAAAGTATATTTACTAAACTGAAATATCACCTTGAGCAGCAGATACAACACACTTTTAGGTTTGCCTGCATTATTTATATTTTCACTATTACTTTATTAAACCTAGACAAACAACAAAACAATAAATCAAGCTCTGATTTGTAGTGTTTGCTGATTTCCATAAGTGTGTAAATATTGACACTATGGCCAATTTCATTTGAGCTATCAGTGTGATTTTACTGAGTGCAGAGTTAAAAGATGTGCAGTGACACATCATTATATAGTATTGTATAGTATTTCCACCATACTAATACAGATACAGACAAAATATGATCGAGAGCATAGCTAATAGTAAAATAATTAGGAAGATGAGAATTTTTATTTTATCATCTTTGTCCTTAATATAATTGAGAGTTTATATAATTTAATTATTAATAATGCCTATGTTTAACAATTGCTTACCACATTTCTAAGGATACAACAATCAGCTCTCATTAGCCAGCAGGAGAAGGTGCCTGTTTCCTTCTGGTGTCCATGATCACGGAGCAGCTCCCACTTATTTTCTCCAGAGAGCATTCTCCTCTTATGTGGCATGGGAGAGGGAAAAAGATGACAGCAGTAAAAGATTAAGAAGGGCACTGGAAATTCCTCCCTGTTCTTTTTGTTTTGTGTTGTTTTGTTTTGTTCTGTTCTGTTTGAGACTGAGTCTGGACTGGAGTGCAGTGGTGCGATCTCGGCTCACTACAACCTCCACCTCCCAGGTTCAAGCAATTCTCCTGCCTCAGCCTCCCGAGTAGCTGGGACTACAGGCACAGCCACCACACCCAGCTAATTTTTTGTATTTTAGTAGAGACAGGGTTTCACCGTGTTGCCCAGGCTGGTCTCGAACTCCTGAGGAAAGGCGATCTGCCCGCCTCGGCCTCCCAAAGTGCTAGGATTACAGGCGTGAGCCATAGCGCCAGGCCCCACTGTTCTGTTTACACACTTTCAGCAAATACTTTTGTTTTCATCCATGCCTGCACCCATAACTTCCACAGGGACTCATGCCTCCAATCTGGGCTTCTCTGAGGGCAAATTGGATCTATTATTATTGTTCCTCCCATTGAAGGCATTTAATATGAAACTGTCCATTCTCCTAAATTGGTTGCTATGATTCCTGTCGTCTCCAAATCACTTGAAATCTTTTATTTTCTTTTAATCATTTTCCTTTCACTTTTTCTTTGTGTGTTAGAATTTTATTTTGTGCCAGTAATTGTGGGGTGGCAGGTGGCTGCTGGAGAGGTAAAAGCAATAATTGCTGGTATCAGTCCTTCAATATTTAATCAGAAATATCACTTGATGTTTCTTATATTCATAATCCCAGGGCTCACTAGATACAGTTAATAGTGAAAAAACGATACAAAATACGGAATAGTAAATATTCCATCATGTCTTTGTATATGTTACCTCAGATTAAACAGTAGAAATAATAATTTGTTGTTTTAAAGTGTACTTTATCAACCCATTGAATTTTTTTTTCTCGTATGTATGCCAAGAAAAAGGTCAGTCCTATGTCCTCAGATATGCAACATTTATAGGTGTCAGAGTCTGAGAATCTTAATAAGGTCTATTATTTTGGAATGTTAATAAATAGTACCATGGTATCAGGTGCTCCATCTTAGTATGGACACCATATAAGATCATTTCAAACCTCCTCAGTACATCTGTCATCTTATATATTGCTATAAATCATCCCCATTGAACTACTTCAAAATGTTTCACAGGCGACTCCCCTAGGTATTCAATTAAGCACTGAGGTTTGCAGAAAGGTGTCAAAAGTGAAGGGGAAAGAGGTGGAAAATGGAATTGGATATAACATGCTTCTTTCTGTCAGACACAATTTCTTTTCCTCAAATAGCCAGAAAACGTGTTAAGGGTTTGTAACAATATATAAAGAAGTGATGAACAGAAAAAGGCATAAGCCTGTTAGTGTGTATATGGGAAAATGGGTTCTACACATGTATAAAAATTAGATTTTTAAAATTTTAATAGCTGAATGTTAGATCACTAACATAACTGAAGCACATATTTTAAAATATGTTTTTTCTTTTTTTTTTTTCTTGTTCTTTACTGGGAAGAACAGGGAAGATAAAATTGTAGGTTTTATTCACAATAACACAATGAAAGTAATTATATAATAAAATCAGTAATTATATTATATAATACATATTTATAAATTATATAATTATATTATAAATTATATATTTTATATTATTATATAACAACATTTATAAAATTTAAATGCAATGCTTATAGGAATCCATTTGGACAGTAGTGTTAGAATAATTCCTGAGCTCAGATAATTATAACAGTGTGATAAAATGTTGTTTTATTCATTTTGGAAACATTTCTGCACTCAATATTGTCTATGTTCCCACTGTGAAATCTCGGGTCTAGACATCTGTCATTTTACAAAATAGGCTATAAGGAAATCACTGTTGAACATGGTGTAGCCGTTATCTACTGCTCTGATTATGTGTTTTGAGGGAGCAGAATATAAAAAATGGCTACCCTGATGCTTGCATAGCTTATTTCTCCATCCTTGTACTTCATCACAAACTCCGTGTGTATTCTGTGTTGCACATATAATGAGTTAGAGTACTTAGATTCAACTTCTTATATCTCAGTTATTTGTACTTGTAAGTGGACTTGTAGTTCCCACTGAAATAACAAGTCTCTCCTTTTCTGCCCCACGAAAACCTTCTCACTCTTTAGTAACTGCTCAAGTGTCATTTTCTTTAGGGACTTAGCCTTTGCTACATATGAAAGCTTTCCTTAACCTGATGTGTTGTCCTAAGGATTCCTCTCTTTAGTTCTTCCACAGCATCCTATGCTTAATGCAGGAACTATTTTCCTATACTGTAATCAGCCTTTTTCTTGGTTTTAGCTCGCTAAATCCTAAACATCTTTAGAGCATGGCTTGTGTCTTCTTTTTATTCTTAACCGAAAGTAGGTATTTGTAACATTAATAGTTTGTCAGTTTCCTCTAGTGAGGCATTTTATTGTGATGGAATTAGGCATTGATAAGAGTGAAGTAGGAAGAAAATACATTACGGAGGCTGGAAAGATTAGTAAGTTATACTATAAATGCTTACTAAATTAGATGGTTTTAAACTATAATCCAATTGTAGACAACATCCATGTGTGGGATTAATTAATGTATTCTATGCATTGAAATTGTGAACTAAAATAAATAACAAAGCTTCTGTATAAAGGGTTATCATATTCCAGGAAGGAACTATTTCCTTCTTTTTTTATAGTGAGTATTAATGAGTATAATGAGAAAAAAAAAAAGAAAAAAACAAGAGATCTATCTCTCTGTTCTTCTCTTTTTTTCCTGTTTCTCTTTCAGAAGTAATGAGTTTTGTAATGTTCCCTAAAGCCCCAAAATTCAGATATCTGCTAAAGGCTCTCAAAGTCAACATAATAAAAATCATGCTTTAGATAACAATATGTATCTTCCAAAAACTATAGAACTCAGATCAGTGTCCATACAACACCAGAAGGAAGGGTAGAAAGTAAACTCTGATTTGAGATGATGGATAGATAAGCCTTAATTTAGAATGTGACATAAAGCAAAGGCCCAGGGCTTAGTGCTGGTTTACTGAGCTCTAGGATTATCTATCGTTAGTCAGGACTTGAATGAAACCCTTGAGTTATTTTACCTGTAAATAACAGGTTAGGTTCTATTATGTGTTTTTAAAATTTAAATCTTTTTAAAATTTAAAACATTTATGTACAAATGATACTTCTCTTACAATCACAGGATTTCTAATTAGGAAAATAATTTTAAATACTTTCAAATGTTGTTTTCATTTTTTAAATTATTTTTTTAAATTAGAAATCCTGTAATTGTGATAGAGAAGTCTCATTTGTACATAAGAGTTTTAACTTTTTGTTTTAAGTAGAGTTTTTATTTAACTTGGGTTGCAGCTGAACAAAACATGTTTTTAACATTAAACAATTTTACTTTCATATCTGTTTGCCTATCTTCAACTCTGCATGGAAAGTATATTGAATAGATTTTTAGGATATTGTCAAATCTTGTATCAAATCCAAAACTCTGATATCTACATTGATATAGGATATTTCATTTAGTCGCAAGAGAAACTGTTGATAAAAGAACACTTTCCCCAATGAACGTTTTAATAGCTTTTCAAGGGTATTGGATATGCTTGATTTTGTGTTCAATTTTTTTCTGCCCAAGAAAACACTTTGTGTTACTGTAATCAACTACAAATAATGTCTTCACATTTAAAAGGCTGAAAGGTTCTCAGTTTTTAATAATAATTAGAAATAATGAATGCTTTGTTCTGTCTAAAATATATTTCATTGATGTTCAGAATTTCAAACACTTCATGTATTCACTATTTCAAAGGTCATTTAAATTTGAAGACTTTGCGCTTTAAAATCTGAACATGGCCTTAAAATTTATATCTTTTAGCATCCTTGCTAAGTACAATTAGCTGTTTTTTGGAATTAGACTATTATCACTTTTATCACATATTAAAATAATTCTTTAAAAGGGCATCAGTTTACCTATTTTTCCACTGAAATAGTTTTTAATTTTGTATTTTCATTCCTTTATATGGTTTTTATGCACTTAGAAATTCAAAGACCAGTCCGGGCACAGTGGCTTACACCTGTAATCCCAAGAATTTGGAGGCTGATGCAAGCATGTCACTTGAGGCCTGGAGTTTCAGACCAGCCTGGTCAACAATGCAAAACCCTGTCTCTACTAAAATACAAAAATGAGCTGGTCATAGTGGCACACACCTATAATCCCAGCCACTCTGGAGGCTGAGACATGAGAATTACTTGCACCTGCAGACGGAGTTTGTAGTGAGCCGAGATCGCACCACTGCACTCCAGCCTGAGCCACGGAGCGAGATTCTGTCTCGAAAGAAAGAAAAGAAAGGAAAGGAAGGGAAGAAGTGAAGAAAGGAAAGGAAGGGAAGAAGTGAAGAAAGGGAAGGAAGGGAAGGAGTGAAGAAAGGGAAGGAAGGGAAGAAGTGAAGGAAGGGAAGGAAGAAGTGAAGGAAGGGAAGAAATAGCCAAAGACCATGACTACAAATTATACATTGAAAGTAGATTGGGTTAATTAACAATTTTTACAGTGTTTTCTCTTTATGGCATGGCAAAATAATTTCGGATTTCATTATTTCATTTCATATTTTAATTTATCCCCTAGTATCTATAAGAATATAAAATCATTTACTGCCAAGATACAATGGGAAAAATTAACAGTAACTTAGAAGGGCACTTGAATTGATGAGACAGATGTAGCACCAAATCCCCTACATAAGTAAGCCAATTAAATCTTTGTCAGTGAACATGCAGCACCCAAGTCCCACAGACGTGAAGTGACAGGCTTGGACTTTGAACCCAGGGCCATAAGCTCTTTCTGGTGCATGACACACATTCTGAGCATATAATAAGTGCTAATGTATGTTCAATTTTTCATTGTATTTTTCTGATTTGATGTTTGTTGCCAAGAACACAGTATATTGAGTATGCAGACACATCTCAATAAGTATTTCCCCTATAATGTGAAAGGGAAAAAAAAACTTTGTTTCTCAGTAGCTTTATGAAAATACAACTTAAATTTGGAAAATTAGACTGCCTCTAAAAGAGCAAATGGTGCATTTTAGAACTCCTGGGAGACACAACAAAGGGAACAAACAAAAGAGCCAGATGGAGAGGTTGGAAGGGAGAAGAAGATTTTCATTTTGTTAGATAGCAACAAATTTTTCATTCAACTACATATAACGAATTCCTAGATCCTAACTACCTGGTTTATATATTCGTACCTTCTCTCTGTCTTCTGTTTTCCACTATTCTTGAGTCAATCATTATTTGTGATGTCATGGAGAAAAAATGAGGTAAGGATTTCTGATTATCTCAGGTTTGAGGTTTTGAAGAGATTGAATAATGATTTTGGGGTACAGCTTGTGTCTAAATGTATTTACATTTTCAAAGGACCAGAATATCCATAGATTAAACTTAAGGGCATAATGGCCATATTTGTTAAAAAGCTAAAAACAAAATTACCAGTTTATCCTAAACTTAACTAAAGGTGCTCTAAATACACAGAAATCATCATTTTGCCAAGTCAACTGCATTCTACTATTTTTTTTTTTTTCTGATGCTGGAGAATTTGGCATTTTCACTATATGAATCACCATCAAGATTATTACTTTCACAAAAGAGAGGAAATCGGCAGAACTGAAATAGATAAGCACAAGTTTACCTCTCTTCTCTCTGTTTTTACCATCGTCTATAGCAGGGGTGTCCAATCTTTTTGATTCTGTGGGCCACATTGGAAGAAGAATTGTCTTGGGCCACATATAAAATATACTAATGAGCTAGAAAACAAAAATTGCAAAAAAAAAAACAACAAAAAACAAAACTCATAATGTTGTAAGAAAGTTTACGAGTTTATGTTGGGCCACATTCAAAGCCGTCCTGGGCCACATGTGATTGGTGGGCCTACAGTATTATAAAAGGACATAGGAGTCTTATGTCTTATTTATTCTCTACAAATTTAAAAATTTGAACTTTTAATGTTTTCCAAGGTGATGTACAACAGAATCATGTCAGAGCTGAATATTGTAACTGTATTGTTCCTAGGGCACTCTTAAAACTTCCACAGCTATGGCTGCCACAAAGTACTGCATTTGCTTAACACTCAAGGTTATTGGCACATGTGCCCTTTTGCATTTGAACAAAATCTGTGTTTTATTCACGTACAACCAAGATGTCACTTTATAATGCTGCAAAGACATAGAGGAAGGTGTAGAAACACACACTTCCAGAAAAAAATACTAAGAGGCAAATTACTGATTAACATTTAACATTCTAAATCATTACTTAAATAAATACCAATTTTTGAAGATATGGACAGAAAATGAAAGCAGTCAAAGCAGTGTTTGGGGCACATATGTTAATGCATTTTAATAAGATGGAAGAAACTAAATGACAGGGAAAATATATTAGAAACATTTCTTTTTTTTTTCTTTTTTTTTTTTTTTCAGACATTGCAGGCCATACTGAAAAGTCACTGATTTTGTATTTCAGTGTAATATCTAAAATTGAATTTTAATTCGCATGCATTCGTTGCAGAGAGACAGAGAGAGAGAGAGAGAGAAAGAGAGAGAGAGAGAGAGAAATTGAGAGATTTAAGTTGATTCACTGGGTCAGACAGAAGTATTTGCAGCTGCAATAAAGAAGCTTTCCCCAAACTGCATTGCCAGATCTTCTCAGCTCTGACCCACAGTCACTGTGCCAAAAGCTGCCAGGAATGCCAAGTGCATGGTGATTTTGTGACGTAGAGAAATAGGGTTCTGGGTGAGAATACTTAATTGTCTTGAACTACAATATTTGCTTGGTATCCGAGCCAAAGTTTCCAGACATAAAAAACAGTGGTAAAAATCCACAGACACAAAAATACTTTGTATCTACTGCCTCAAAGTAAGCAGGACCTTTGAGCAAGCAGCACTTTGAGTTTGATTTCGGCTGTTGTTTTTAAATTGTGATGGCTAAAGGAAGGCAGTCTAGTTTGTTTATGTGTATCCTTGAGACTAAAGATATGCTCTCAGTTGCCCTTAGACTCCCGATATTTGTAACTTAGATATATTTGCTGTATCTTCTCTTCTGAGGTTATATATGTCTTTATTGTTTCTTAATCAAATTTAAGTATAGGAACATCTCTTTGTTATTTCTCATAAGTTTCTTGGGATTTTAGGTGTTATTCGGAAAGTTTTTTTTTCCTTAAATATTTGAAGTTTGGGGTTTTAATCTGCGTTGTTTGTATTTTAATTGAGCTATGGGAAATTATGGAATTTTTTCAAATTCTTGTGGAATTCACTCTATACCTTTAGGAAAGAAAATACGTTGAAAACTTTTATATAATCTCCAGGGTAAAAATCCTTACAAAAATATATACAATTTTAAGCTAATTTTTATTAGGGAACATTTCAATACAACTAACATTTTTGAAATACATTTTTAGTGATTGAAAATGATCTTCAGTATTTCAATGATTTCAGGTACACCATGTTGCTACCAATTAATCCTTAGAAAAGTCATTTTATTTACTAGAGTTTATTGCATCTGGTTTTGTCATGTAAGTATCCATTTAACAATATTATATTTGCATAAGAACTTTTTGAGTACATCATAGTAGAGTAAGTGATGAGCACCTTCTGTTTTCTGAAAAAAATGGGTTGATAAGAATGAATTCATGCTTGGAGAATTATGTTAAAAATTGGTGCCTGATAAATCATAAATTGGACAGGCTGCCTGTCTTGCATAGGTCTTTTATCAGGTATTATACAAACAACTGATTGTAGGATGACTGCATATTTTAAGGACTATTGAAAATTAGTGGATACTGATTTTACTGTTAGAACCCTAGAGTTGGTGGGCCTGCCGAGTCCTGCTTGAATTACTATTTCGTTGAAGATTATTAATCACCAGCTGCCATCACACAGTGGCAGGATTCCAAGGCAGCACTCTGAGGACTCCTCTGTTCATTCCTCTGTCGCAGGGTGACATAGTATAGAAGCCTTTTTGGCTTCTCTGCAAAAGAACATAACTGCCTCTAAAATGTGTGCATTATCACCAAGTTTAAAGTTAGAGGATGTTCAGGAAAAAAAAATTCTCAGATATTTTATTGAGACCAACTGAGTACATATGCTTTTTGTTAAGAATCATGTTAATTCAAAAATAAAAAAGTTCCAATATTTTTGCTCACAATCCTTTGTTCTCCCTCTATCCATCCATCACTTGGTGATACATTTCACAGTCACATGGTGGTAGGGGACAGTGTGGGAAAGAGAAAGACTTTGGCCTTTGAGTCCTGTAAATTATTCAGTTGTACATTCTAGTGGTTTCCATTTCGTCAGACTTCAACATACTGTGAAATGGTGACATGTCAAAGGTTGCATTATTGGTTGATAATGCAGCTCTGTAAAGTGTGTGAGCTCGGGTCCCAGCGTCCCCTGCCAACACACACAGATCCCAGGACAGGTGCAAATTTGACTTCACACATCACAGTTGAACAAGCCAAGCCTGAATATAACCTGACTGGGCTTAACTTTTCACTTCTTTTGCAATCTGCTTTCTTATCACTTCTTAGATTGTTTTTTTTAATTTTATTTGTAAGAGTAAGGGAAATTTGGTAGTTTATAAGCCTGAGTTCAAACTTCCATGATTTCTCAGTTGTCAAACGTATTTTCTGAGAAATGCCCTCATCAAAGTAATCAGCCTAATATTTTTTATTTCTTATTAAAATTACATTATATTTATTCAAATTTCAGGTAAATTTAAATATAATGTAATTTTTCAAAATAATTCTTTAATATTACACAAATAAGGAATTATTGCCTTTAGTTTGTTCTCATAATGTTTTTGAATAATTGCCTTTCAAAATGCTTGACTTAAGAAGAGGAAGACATCTACAATAAAAATTTACTATGCAGATTTTTTTAAATTTACATTTGCTACTTTTTAGTAGCCTTTAAAATATCATTTTCATCTAAGAAGCATGCTGTGACTGTGTTTACAGGGTTAATCACATAAATTAAAGGAATGATGGGAAGAAGTTATAAGCAGTATGTAGAGTAAGTTAACTAAAAGTGGCATGTTAGCTCAAAATAGAATGTATATTTTTGGCATAATGAAACACAATGCTTGGTCTTCTTCTAAGTTAACTTTTTAAATTAAATACTTGGAGTTGTATTGTGAATATATTCGTGTCCTTATAAAGGACCACATAACTTGTATCTGAGAACTTTTCTTTTTGTTGAGATATAAGTTTAAAGGAATGTGAATTTCTAATAAGACTAATTCAGTTGGATCTCTTAAATCTTAATGGATTATGGATTAGTGACTGAAGAAAACCAGGTAGAGAGAGCAAGGATATTGAACTCCTATACATCTTTAAAACTTTAATCATTGAACTTATTTGCGTGTTCTTTGGAGGGAAATTAGCCCTCCAGCTGGCTTCCAACTGTGACAGCAGCTTTTATTCTAACATTAGTAGAAAGAATTGTATAATGATGCTAGTTCAGACTTTTTTCCTTCCTGATATATGTTACAATTATTTGTCATGGACAAGAGTCCATGTTTTCAAAAGAGAATAGTATCTGGTAATATTATCATTCTATTCCAGCTAGGGTAATGTGGGGAATAGAAGTTGTTAGAAACATGTGAATGCAAATTTGCAATTTAGGAAACTCAAAATAGACATTACTGCTCTTCATTTCAAAGCAAGTTTTAGTGACATTAAATCAAAACTCTCCAGTTTTATTTTTACTATAATCTCCTGACATGTATAGCTCACATCATGTTTTATTGTAATGCTTAGTGTCAGTCATTTCTAGATTTTTTTGCAGTGACTAATTTTATTTTTGCTTTAAAAATTTATAGAATAGGGGGATTATTTATTTAAAATCTCTTAAAATAAATACATGAGTGTAAAATCTGAGACCCTTGCTGTTGCTCACATTTTAAATTTGACCATGCTAACTCAGTGTAGAAGAGCCAGAGAACAAACTCTGTAACCAGAAACCCAGCTTCCATTGCCCTCTTTAGTATCTACATGCCATGTTACCTTGGGCTTACTGTACAATCAGCACCTCAGTTCCCTCTTGTTAAATAAGACTAATACTAGTACATACAAGGGACAAAATTATATATATAAAATATTAAATAATATATAAAATACATATATGTATAATATATAATATATAAAATAAAATTTTATATATATAGCACTTAACAGTAGGTAAATGTTAGCTATTCTTCCAATTGACTCATTAATGAATCATGAGAATCTTTTATGTGATAATGAAATTCGAGAGTACTAAGTGAAATAATTGCACAGTGCTTATAAATAGGGAAATAAGAGTGAAAGATAATACAAATTAATTGAAATATGTAATATAAGGAAAAACAGATGAGAACTCTTGTAAATAAAAGATTAATGAAATTTAGAATCTATTGAAAGGGATATTTGTTATTTTTAATAACAAATTTATTTTTAATATTAAAAATTTTAATATTTGTCTTTGAAAATTTAATATTTGTCTTTGAAATATCTAATATCCAAATTCTCAATATTTCATATGATAGTTTTTGTTCTATTTGTTCAGTTTTTATAAATAGGATATTTCTTACAAAATGTGTTTGATTTTCAAATATAACTTTATCATTAAATTTGTTTAGTATCCTTATGAGGAAATTTGCAGTCATATTTGATAAGTACGCATAATTTATTTCACTTTCCATGCTTCAGTATTATTTTATAATGGTATTTTCAATTTGTAAACCAGACTGTAATGAAACTCTTCCCTCATAATTGTTTAGAAATAACGTATCTTTAGAATGTGTCAATAATTTGTGCTCTCTAGAAAGACTTTATTTGTTATACTTTAAAAGTGGAATCTATTTATATTTCTGTTGCCTAACCAAAATAGCATATCTAAAATATGGATAGAGTTACTGCTTTTCAAAGAACATATTTAAGATTTCTCTTAATATCTTAATTTTTATCTTATATATAGATCTTATGTATGTCTAAAAGATACATTAGGTCTCATATATCTAATATTTGCTACAGTTAATATAAAAACAAATGAAGATTAATTGACTTAGTTTAATATTTCTATGTTCTTGCTTAAGGAACTGATTGGTTTTCTCATAGGGCATTGAAAGAGCCTAATGAAAAAAATGCTATAAACGTTAGACTTAAAAAGATCTAGCTTCAAGTTCTGTTCTGCCACTTGTAACCTGAGAGGTTTTGAATAAGCAGTTTAGTATCTGTGAAGCTTTGTTTTCTCCTATACAAAGTGGAGATAATCACATAGAGTTGTGATAACAACTATCACATTAAGATGTTATGAAATGGGGGAATGAGGGGGGCCTGGATGATGAGAAATGACTTCATGGATACGACGTGGATTATTGCCATGATATATATACTAAAAGCCCTGACTTCACCACTATGTAATGTAACAAAATTACACTTGTACCTTATAAAGTTATACAAATAAAAATTTTAAATAAAATATCACTCTAACAAAATATGAAATAAAATGAGATTACATATGTAAAGCACTTGGAACAGTATCTGATAACAGTTTTTGCAATAATAATTATATAAATATCTGGCATTTAACTACTAAAGACATGTTCGTATGTGTATTATGTAAAATTGAGGCCTTCTTGAATCTTATGATTTCTAACACAGACACTTCGGCTGAAATGCCATAAAACACTTAGAGATAGACATTTTGCAGAGTACCTGGCAATGGCATATATAATATAAAACACATATATTTAGTGCATAATGTGCATAATCCTCAAATAAAATTAGCTACTTTTAGAATATTGTTTTTCTTTTAATACCGTTTTACACAAAATGGGCTATCAGAACAGTAGATCACATATTTATTTAAAAACTAAAGGAGTGAGTTGAGAGAGATACATGAAAGAAAAGAAAGTGCCACATGTGGTATGCCACCTTTATAGAGATTTAATCTTATATAAAAAGCTCTAAGAATTCCTGTTTTAAAGAACCTTAGACATTTACTTCAAACATAAAGCTACTAAGATTATTTTTGATTGAATCATTTTTAGATGTATTTATCAACATTCTACTGAAGAAATGTTCCACTGAGCAAACTATTAAATGGTAATGTTAGAATGCATGAAAAATTAACGTAAAATCATAGGTCAAACAGAAATGTAACACTATAGATCTAGTTTGGAAACAATTAACAGCTAAAGCCCAGGATATGACTAAAGAGAAAGGATCTCTGCTTAGATTACAGAATGGAAGAAAATAAATTCTGATAACTAGGTAATTAAGTTTGGCAGCTAGGGATGAAAAAGACAACTGAAAATAAAATATGGAAGAAGTAAGAATGAAACACAGCAAGTACTCTTTTGAGAAGAAAAAGAGTTAAGATTTTTCTGTCCCAGCACTTTTTGAATCTAAGTCCCGTAATATATATAAAATGAGGGATTAGACTATATTGCCTCTACCAGGTTATTGCAAGCACTTAAACTTGTAATTCTCATATAAAATAAAAAAAACAAAAAGTATATTCTTCCAATATTTTCCTTAAATATTTACACATTACATGATACATTTTATTTGTGAATAACTTTAATACTCTTAAATTAGAATGTTATAAATGCTATTAAGTTATCTGTTTTAATATAAGGTGTGTGTGCATCTAGTAATAGGAAGAAAAGAAGGAAGGAAGAATAAGGACGACAAAAGAAGAGAGGGAAGGAAAGAAAAAACTTGTCAAATATTTCATAGCTGATCTAATTTTGTGCTCTTTTTTTCTGTGCCACATTTATTCCCAGAAGTTTCTTTGGTGGATCAAGAGATGTGAAGCCAGTGCCTGGTATGGAGGAGATGAACATACCTGAATCTCTCAATTTTAATGACAATTTATTTTTTTACTAGACATATAGACATCCTAAATATATATATTATGAAAATTTCATATTATATTAAAAGGAACATTGTTCCTTTTTGTTACTTTATTAAATTTAATTTTTTTAGGACAGGATCTTGCACTTTTGCACAGGCTGGACTCAATCATGGCTTACTGAAGCCTCGAAATCCTGGGCTCAAGCAATCCTCTGTGTCTCTGGGACTACAGGAACATACATGCCACCGAGCCTGGCCAATATTTTTTTTTCTTTTTTTTTTAGAAATAGACTTTATGTATTTAAACATAAAAACTGTGAAAAAGAAATCATCAGAATTCAGGAGGTAGATGATGAGAAGGGGAAGATATTGATCAAAAGGTACAAAACTTGCAGGTATAAAATGAGTAAGTTCTGGAAATGTACAACATGATGACGTAACATAGTTAATAATCATATATGCTTGAAGTGTCCTAAAATTATTTTAAAAATGCCAACTTTTATTTTCAATACAGGGGGTACATGTGCAGGTTTTTTACATGGGTATATTGCACCCAGGTAGTGAGTATAGTACCCAATAGGTAGCTTTACGATGCATGCCCCCTCCTTCTCCCTCCTCCAGTAGTCTTCAGTGTCTATTCCCATTCTTAGGTCTATGTATGTTCAATGTTTTCCTTCCACTTATAAATGAGAACATGCAGTATTTAGCTTTCTGTTCCTGCATTAATTTGCTTTGGAATGATGAACCCTAGCTCCATCTAGTTTGCCACAAATGGCATTATTTCATTCTTTTATGACTGTGTAGTATTAGATGTTGTATATGTACCACATTTTCTTTATCCAATCTACCATTGATAGGCGCCTAGGTTGATTTCATTATCTTTGCTCTTGTGATGTTTCATGTTCAGTGCTATGGCAATGAACATTTGGGTGCATGTATCTTTTTGTATAAGGATCTGTTTTCCTTTGAGTATGTGCCTAGTAATGGGAATGCTAGGTAGAATGGTGGCTCTATTTTAAGTTCTTTGAGAAATCTCCAAATTGCTATCTACAGTGTCTGAACTAATTTTCATTCCCACCAAAAGTATGTAAGCATTCAGCTTTCTCCACACCCTCATCAACATCTGTTATAGTTTACTTAATAGTAGCCATTCTGACTGGTGTGAGATGGTATCTCATTGTGGTTTTGATTGGCATTTCTCTAATTCGTGATGATAAGCATTTTTTCATATGTTTGTGGGCTACTTGTATGTCTTCTTTTGAAAAGTGTTGATGTCCTTTTCCCATTTTTAAATGGAGTTATCTGTTTTTTACATGTTGACTTGAGTTCTTCGTTGATTCCGGAGATGAGACCTTTGTCAGATGCATAGTTTGCAGATATGTTCTCTTGTTCCGTAGGTTGTCTGTTTACTCTGTTTATAGTCTTTTTGTTGTTGTTGTTTTTGTTGTTTTTTTTAAATGCAGAAGCTCTTTAGTTTAACTAGCTCCCATTTGTCAATTTTTGGTTTTGTTGCAATTGCTTTTGGGAACTTGGCCAAAAATTCTTTGTCAAGGCCAATGTTGATAAGGAAATTTCCTAGGTTTTCTTCTAGGGTTTTTTATAGTGTGAGGTCTTCCACTTAAATCTTTAATCTACATTGAGTTAATTTTTGTAT
Source organism: Homo sapiens (assembly GCF_000001405.40). Lineage (NCBI taxonomy): Eukaryota > Metazoa > Chordata > Mammalia > Primates > Hominidae > Homo > Homo sapiens. The sequence continues at coordinate 92,642,836 of NC_000004.12, forward strand.
ATGGTAAAATTTAAGGGTCCACTTTCATTCTTCTGCATGCTTGTTTATCTCAGCCTTGTTGAAGATCAGATGGTTATAGGGTGTGGGGCTTTATTTCTGTTTCTTATTCTGATCTATTGATCTGTTTGTTTTTGTACCAATACCATGCTATTTGGTTACTGTAGCCTTATAGTATAGTTTGACGTTAAGTAATGTGATGCATCTAGCTTTATTCTTCTTGCTTGGGATTGTTTTGGTTATTTGTGCTCTTTTTTGGTTCCATGTGAATTTTAGAATAGTTTTATTTTTTTAATTCTGTGAGAATGACCTTGGTAGTTTGATAGGTATAACATTGAATATGTACATTGCTTTGGGCGCTGTGGCCATTTCAATGATATTGATTCTTCTAATCCATGAACATGGAATGTTTTTCCATGTATTTTTGTTATGTCTGATTTATTTCACCAGTGTTTTATAGTTCTTATTGTGGAGATCTTTCAACATACTACTGGAAGTCTTAGCCAGAGCAATCAGGCAAGAGAAGGAAATAAAGGGATCTAAATAGAAAAAGAATAAGTCAAACTATCTCTCTTCTCTATGATTCCATAGTTAGAAAACCCCAAAGACTCTGCCAAAAGGCTGCTGGAACTTATAAACAACTTTTGAAAGTTTTCAGAATATAAAATAAATGTACAAAAACTCACTAGCATTTTTATATACTAATAACATTTAGGCTGAGAGTCAAATCAAGAACGCAATCTCATTTACAATAGCTACAAAAAAATGAAATATCTATGAATACAGTTAGCCAGCTAATTAAATAAAAAATTTCTATATACTGGGTCTCCTTATGTTGTTCAGGTTGGTCTCAAACCCCTGGCCTGAAGTGATACCTTGGCTTCCCAAAGTGCTAGGAATCACAGGTATGGGCCTCTGCACCTGGCCAAATTTAAAAAAAAATTGATTGTTTAACTGTCATACATGCCTTGATTTCAGAAGATATTTTACATTTGGTGAAAAATGAGCAAATTTGAGCTCTTCATCTGATGAGAAATTCAATCTAATCAGAATTGTCTTTTTCAATTGCAAAGTGTAATTTTCTCAAGGATCACATATTATAATATCTATATTAGTAAATTACTATACACACATTTATTTAACTCATTGTCTTATGAATGCTTTATTAAGATTACATTTACATTGCAAGTAGAGATTAGTTATCCTGAGAGACAAAAATCTACAACTAGATCTGACTGACATGATTAAAAAATAACAGATTGTGTTGCTTATAAAAAAAGGGTAGTGTTGGCAGAATAACCTGCAACAATGCTTGATACTTTCTAACATCTTTTTCATTGAAAAAAGGGATTTAACATTCTATAAGTATTGTAGCCATGATGTAAATGGATACAACATAAAATTAAGGAAATTATATTTTATTAAATGATACAACATATAAGTAAAATGTATTTATAGATTTATGCATACATATTTCAATTAATTTTCCTATTTGATATCAATATGCTTCTCCAAAGTAATAAATTAAGTCTCACTAAAATAAACAAGATGAAGAATTTGGAACAAAACCTCAAAGCCTCTCAAGAAATTGTTTCTAGATTGTGAAGTAAATAGTTGTCAGGCTGTAGCTCTCATTTTTATTCAGCTCTTATATTTGCCAGCTTTTGATGTTATGGCTATTAACTTTTATAGATGTCATACATTTTTATGTTAATCGTTCAGCTTTTTGTCTGGTGAGTAGCTAGACTTGTGTTCCTTGAACAAATTATATGAGCAAATTACCACATGCCTTCAACATCTTTAAAAGGTTTTGTTTCCTGTTTGTCATTTTAGAATTGATTTTTAAAATTAAGAATATTTCAAATACTTATTGATAATGGACAAAATATGTTTACTCTTTTTGTGAGGTCATCTTTAAGATAATATAAGAGTTGTATAGTTCAAATAAACTTTCTCAAATTTATTAGAAGACAAATAAATGTTTATATTCATATAAGTCAAAATACTACATCAAATTTTACATAGTAAAATATTTATGATTTATGTGCAACAGATATGTTATGTAATTATTTCCCTTTATCTCTTTTTTTTCTCATTATAGAACAGCTGTCATCCAAACATTTTGATGGAAACTTCACTTTTATTAAGGAATATTTTTAACATATATTCTTATAAATATTTTAGATCTAGCTTCTAACATAAACATAATTGCAATTATATCTCAAACTTAAACAAAAATATTCTAGTATATTCAAACATTTCATTAGTATTTAAACTTTCAATCTTCCTGTAAGTTCTATATTTTATAAAATATATATTAAATTTGAAGCATTTGTTTTAAAAGGATCCAAATAAAATTTTCATATTGTTAGAAGTTGATAGGCTTAATTCCATGTGTGTCTTTTCTTTTTCCTTGGAATGTGTTTGTTACTGAAACTGAATAGTTTGTTTTTGTAGTTTTCTACAGTATGTTTCAGTCTGATTGCATCACTGCAATGGTGTTTAACATGTTCCCCTTTTCTCCCTATATTACCTATTTATTTGTAGTTGTAGTCAAGAAATGAAAGAAGGCCAAATTTAATTGACTTTGTTTTGGTTTCATTTTGATACAGTTATGTTATAGGAAGAACTGGTTTGTCTCTCAAATTTTCTTAACAGTACTTTATTCATATGTACTTTACATATTGAGCATAAACATTAAATATACAGTCCCATGAACTGTGATACATCTATGTACCTGAGTAAGTAATATCCAGATCAGGATATAGATTTCTATTACTCCACAAAGTTTCTTCATGCTCCTATCCAGACAAGCCCCCATCTCCCTGCTCACTACCCCCATGAGCGACCACTATGATTTTTATCACCATGGACTGCTCCTTAACTTGACATGTATTCTTTTGCATCTGACTTCTTTCTTCCCTCAGGCTTTTGAGACTTTCCCATGTTTTAAAAGTATTGATAGTATTTTTTCATCAAATTATTTCCCCGTAAGAATTAGATCACAGGTTGTTTTTCCTGTCTCCTGTTGATGAACATTGATGGGATTTTTTATTTTGGGCTCTTATGAATAAGCTGCCGCAAATATCTTTAGAGAAGTCATCTTATGTGAAAAACGCATTCACTTTTCTTGCAGTCAAATGTCCTAGGAGTAGAATTGGTGGGTCATAGGATGACAACTGAAAAAGAATTTTCCATCTTGATTGCACTGTTTTAGACTCCTACCGGCTTCGTAGGAGAGTTCTCGTCGTACCACACTCTTGGCATCACTTGTTATTGTCTGTTTTCGTAATGGAACGTTTGGGTGGGTGGGCTATCTCATTGAAGTTTTAACTTGCAGTTCATCTATAATTAATAATGTGCCATGGAGATACTTTCTTATTATGTGCCACTCAGCTATCTTCTTTTATAAAGTGCCTGTTAAAGTCTTTAGCCCAATTTTTAAAAATTGAGTTATTTTCTCTCGCTTGTAATAATTTGTGGGTATTTTCAAAACTATTTTCTAGATACAATTTCTTGTTCAGTTTGTGTATTGTCAAATATATTACATTATTAACCTGCCTGTACAGAGCAGTAGTTTCTAATACTGATAAACTTTTACCTATTAATATTTTTTCTTGTTCTTAACACTTAAATCTTGACTAAAAAAAAAAAACTTGTTCACTCTGAAATCATGAATATTTATGTTTTCATCTAGAAATGCTATAGTTTTAGCTTTTATAGCCTTAGCTTTTAAATTTAGATTTATAACCCATCCGGAATTATTTTTTGTCTATGATGACTGCTGGGGCTAACAGTTTAATCCTTTTGATTTGTTATTATGACTATTAAAATGTAAACAAATGTAAAACAGGTTATTGAGGCAAAAACTATTTTCATGGTGTCTATTCAATATCTTCATGAACATAAGTATCCTTGAGGGAATTTTAAAATTGCACCCATTTTGTGAAATTATTTCGTATTCTATTTATGTTTTCATTTATCATTATTATCACTCCTGAATTAGTAAATGCTGTTAATAATCAACAAACTTATACAATCACAGTCTTTGAATTCTTTTTTTTTTTTTTTTTTTTTACTTTTTCCTCAAGCCTTTATCCTATATCAGGTGTTGTACTTGGATTTAGACATTTTGGAAAGTATCCAACTGTTTTTGTAATTTCGGTAGTAGCAGTACAACTTGTTCCCTAAAAAGCTAAATAGCCACAACAAATGTACAATGATCGGTTAGAGTGGGACTGAGAGGCAATGTTTCCCAATATGTAGAGGAGGGATTCAGAAACATTTAATAATGGTGTGATCCTGTATAACTTACTTTATCTCCTTGTGTATCTCCTTGTTTATAAGATAAAATCATGATAGTGTCTGCTGATAGGGTTATGGGGATTAAATTAATGTTAACATTTGTAAAGTGTTTGGAATGGTGTCAACCACACAGTAAAATTATATAATTGCTTTACTATTACTATTGTAAGATTTTTTTTGTAAGGGGACCTGAGATAATTTTGTTTTTTGAACAAAGAGAAAACAATAAAAAATTCTAACCAATAAATGATACAGTGTGAAGTTCAGTCTAATTAGATATACAAGTAAACCTTATCCAACCATAGGACAATGAATTGTTGCAAAATGATCATGGCTTGAATTATGGTTTTTTTGTTTGTTTTAAATAAGGAAACTATAAAGCCACTCTTTATAAGCATTTATAAAACTGTGGCTCCATAATGGTTTCTCATTATTTAGGTAAAGTGACATTGAAGATAAAATACATATTTTCTGCAGAATAGTTAAAAATTTCTATAGCATACCAACAATTTTAGATCACTTTATATGTTATGAAATTTTCCTTAGTTGATTGAACTTTAAGAGAAAAATGTGACTAAGGAAAATAAAAAGAAATCTTATTTTCTTAAACAAATATGTTACATTCCATATACAAGTTTGGAAATTCATTATACTTAACAAATTTAACATGTATGTCTGAACCCAGTTTCACTCTGGAACCAATAATTTGAAATGTTCCTTATCTATAAATAGAAATTAGTTGAATTAGACAGAATGGCCTAGTTTCACTTATGTGAAAATTCTCTTGTATGATATGTTCGATTTGGAAGATAATATTCTGCTCATTTTGTTATACAGATTAAGGAAGTAAACAGATCCCCTTTACTTTGTACCCTGTTAAAAATAATTTCATAAAATGAAGTTTCACTCATTGGGGACATTTTTTATCCTGAAATTTTTGATGAAATATTCAAGTTTTACCTTGTATAATGACAATAAAATTCTTTTTGAGATCTGTAGCATTCAGTGCCTTGATTCAATAGTACCAGCAATGAAAGTTGAAGCAATGTCTAATTCAGTCCCTTTATCTTAAAGAGCTAGAAATATTTATAGATTTGATTTTATTTTGAATACATTTAAATAAATGAGGTAGGTAATTATTAGTGTGCATACGGGTGCATCCCCAAATACTGTAAATCACCAAAAGTTTTCAGCAGTATAAGCCTCCTCATTTTTATTATACTATTGATCTCAGTATCTTATGTAAAAGTAGTTACATTTCTTGGAATATTTTGTCACCTCTCCACATTATTTCACAATGGGACACATATCAGAAGTAGTTTAATTTAATAAACAACATACATTTATCAAGCACTTAGCATGTATCGAGCATGGCTGTTAATGCTGGGGGTTGAAAGAAACAGCCGTTTCTCCCTTCACTGAAGTTACATTCTGTCTGGGTAGAAAATTTAAAAATAATAAAAATGCCATGTTAAGAGTAATTAATAAGACTGTATATAAATTGCAATGGTCAAACAAGCGGTTGATAAAGGAGAAGTGTGCCCAGTAAAGCAAGGGCATTGCTTGAAATGAGTTATGGAAGTATACCACAACCATTTTAGTATGATTTAGAGTTAAAACTTTAGTTCCCATTTGATTATTGCACTTGATTCATTTACTATATCAGTTCACATTTATTCCATATTAATAAATGATGATTCATGATGCAAAGATAAAAATTAAGTTGTCAAATTGATTTTTAAAATAAAATATATATTATCAGATACATAAATATGATAAATATATTTCATTATTTCTTTAGAGACAATTATTTATGTGTAGAACTAGCTGATATAGAATATGTAGAAATTATTTCAGTGTTTACAAGTCTACAAACAGTGTTACAAGTTTACAAATATATATATATATATATAATATATATATAACTAACCACTTTACTAAAAGTTAACTATAGTAACTACTTAACTACAAGGTGTAGCTACTACTTACTACTTAACTACTATACTAACTATATATGTATATAGTTATATATGAGGAAGAGGTAACGGGAGAGAGGGAAAGATTATGAAAATTTGCCATATGACTATGGAGGTAGAGAATTCCCACCAGTTTACCATCTATAAGCTATAAAACCAAGAAAGCTCATGGTGAAATTCAAAGTTTGAAGGCTTGAGAACCAGACGAGGCAATGTTGTAACTCCAAGCCTGAGTGTGAAGGCACAAGAACCATGAGCTCTGATGCCTAATACCAGGAGAAATGATAGAATTTGCCCTTCTTCTGCCTTTTTTTTTTCTTTTCAGACCCTCAACTGATTGGATGATGCCCACCCACATTGGTGAGGGCAGATCTTTACCCCATCTACTGATTCCTATATTAATCTCTTCCAGAAACATTCTCACAGGCACACCTACAAGTAATGTTTTACCAGCTATCTGGGCATTGCTTGGCCCAATCAGGTTGACATGTAAAATTAACCATCACAAGTCCATCACTGGGTACCCATAGGTATTTCCTTGAACCATACTTAATAACCAAATAAAGACAATAACAAGATCATAATTCTGCTTAACATTATACAACTATCCTGCCTGCAACCAAAATGGAACTAATTCTTTCCTCTGAAGTGGAGGTAAAATCCTGGAGTAATTTTTACTCTTGATATCTCGTAACTTAGAAACTAGGATGTGAAATTAACAATAACTAAGTAGAGATGCTCTTCGACTGGTGATCTTATGTCTCTGTAAACTCTTCATAAGTTATAAATATTATTAAGTCAGAAGTTCACATTTGACTTAATACGTTCAACTTACAAAGGGTTTATCAGACATAACTCCATCATAAGTTGAGGAGCATATTGAATGCATATCACTTTCACACCATTGTACATTTGAAAAATCATAAGTTGAACCATCATAAGCTGGGGACTGTATGTAATGTTATGAGGTCAATATCTATTACATTTCATAATATAGGAGAGGGGAAAAACAATAGATTTGCTTAATATATGTATATATGCATACCAACATATTTATAACAAAATAAGGAGGAAATATTCATGATACTGGCAGTTCTCATTACTTTAGCAAGTCATTCGGTTATAGCTGGTATTTATAACGACCTTCTTCTACTACCCATTTCATATTCCCTTTGCCTTCAACAATCACTTCCACTGGTCATGGTTCTTTATTTGGTAGGGTGACCCAGATCTTCATATCTGAATAGCCTGGACTATTGTTAGTCCTGCTTAGTTTGGGTTGTTGTAGTTTTCAATCACCTTAATCACAGGGCGTGATATTACTAAGAGAAGTTCTAAGATATCTTCTGTATTCCAGACATATTCATTCGTATCTACATTGAGAAATATTAGTCCAATTTCCCTTTGGTAATAAGGATTAATCACCCTAGCCAGTGCAATAATTCCCTTCTTTGCCTGTTGATTCAGATACATGAGAAGTACAAGGTATCTGAGTGGCAGCCTTGACTCCCAGTTCAGTGGAATTATCATTGTGTCTCTTGGTGGAAGCACTCTTCTTTCTGGAAATGAGACCTGTAGGCCAGCAGAGTATAAAGTTATAGAAACAGGGAGCACAAATGTAGATAGTGAGTCACTAGAGGTAATGCTGAGTGGTACCACTCCCATTTCTTTTGCTTGGTTCCTGGACCCATAAATCCTGGCTATCAGAGAAACAGAACCACATATAGTGGATGCTGATTCAGAGCCTATACAGTCTTCTGTAGGACCCTGACCCAACCCCACAAGGTATTATCACCTTGCTGGAATTGGAACTTGAGTCTTAAAAAGGTCATTTCACTGTTCTGTCAAGGCAGCTGCCTCAGGATGATGGGAAACATAGTTGTACCAGTGAATTCCATGAGCATAGCCCATGACTGCATTTATTTGTCTGTCAAAGTGGTTCATTGATCAGAAACAATGCTGTGTAGAATATCATAACAGCAATCAAGGAATTCTATAAGTGCATAGATGGTAGTTTTGGCAGAAACATTGTATGCCGGAAAGGAAAACCTGTATCCAGAATAAATGTCTATTGCAATAAAGATAAAACACTGCCCCTTCCATGATGGAAACAGTCCGATGCAATCAACTTGCCACCAGGTAGCTGGCTGATCACTCTGGGGAATGGTGCCACATCAGGGACTCAGTGTGGGTCTCTGCTGCTGGCAGATTGCGTATACAACAGTGGTCATAGCCTGGTCAGCCTTGATGAGTGGAAGTCTGTGTTGCTCATACCATGCCTAACTTCCATCCCTGCCTCCGTGGCCACTTTGTTCATAAACCTATTGGATGACGATAGGAGTGCCTGGGGAAAGAGACTGACTGGTATCTATATAATAGGTCATACTATCCACTTGATTATTAAAATTCTCCACTAGCTAGGTCACCCTTTGATAAGTATTCACATGGGACTCAAATATTATTATTTTTCATTCTGAGAGGTCAGTCCACATACTTCCTCCCCAAATTTCTTTGTCACCAATTTTCCAATCATGTTCCTTCCAAGTCCCAGAATAGCCAGCCAAATCATTGGCTACAGCCCATGAATTGATATATAATCACACATCTGGCCATTTCTCCTTCCAAGCAAATTCAAAACAGGTGCACTGCCTGAAGTTCTGCCCATTGAGAGGATTTCCTGTTACAACTGTCATTCAGCTATGTCCCAGAGTGGGGTTGTAGTACTGCAGCTGTCCACTTTCAGGTCATGTCTGCATATTGTGCAGAACCCTCTGTAAACAAGGCCAAAGTTTTCTTTTTCTCTGTCAACTTTCATAGAACACTCCCCATGAGGCTAGAGGTGCAGGCTGGGAAAAAGAAGGCATGTGTCAGGAGTGGGGACCATGGCTGTTTGGACCACTTCTTCATGTACTTACTTGTGCATTCAGGGCCTCCTCAGGATCAATCACATACGTACCATTTCCATTTGAAGATGCAGTGCATGCACAACTTTATGGTGTGGTGAGTCAGATAACACTCAGTTTATTATGGGCAGAACAAGATGGATTTTCCCCTGCCTTTTTGTTCTATTCAGATTGTCAATGTATTGGATGATGCCTGCCCACACTGGTGAGGGCAGATCTTCTTTACTCGGTCTACTGATTCATATGTTAATCTATCCAGAAACTCCCATATATTCACAGACAGAAATAATGTTTTACCAGCCACCTGGGCATCCTGTAGCCTAGTCAAGTTGACACATAAAATTAACCATCACAGTCTTTACTTAAAAATCAAATATAGCCAAGCACGATGGCTCATATATAAATATTCCCAGAACTTTGGGAGGATAAGTCAGGAGGAATGCTAGAGGCCAGGAGTTTGAGGCTTGCCTGGGCACCATTTTATGACCCTGTCTCTACAAAAAAAAAAATTAAAAGTTAGCCAGGCATGGTGACACATGCCTGTAGTCTCAGCTACCCAGGAGGCTGAAGCAAGAGGATTGCTTGAGCCTGGAAAGTTGAGGCTGCAGTGAGCTGTCATTCCCTCCAAACTGAGTGACAGAGTGGAACACTGTCTTAAAAATATGTAATTTTGGCCGGGCGCGGTGGCTCACTCCTGTAATCCCAGCACTTTGGGAGGCTGGGGGGGTTGGGGGGTGGATCACAAGATCAGGAGTTCAAGACCAGCCTGGCCAAGATGGTGAAAAAAAAAATATATATATATATATAAATATATATAAATTTATAAATATATATATAATATATAAATACATATAAATATATAAAAATATATTTATAAATACATATAAATATATATTTATAAATACATATAAATATATATAAACATATATTTATAAATATATATAAACATATTTATAAATACATATAAATATATATAAATATATATAAATACATATATATACTTTTTTTTTTCTAAGTTGGCGTCTCACTCTGTCACTCCAGTCCAGTGGCACGATCACTGCAACCTCCACCTCCCAGGTTCAAGCAATTCTCTGCCTCAGCCTCTCAAGTAGCTGGGATTACAGGCACTTGCCACCACACCCGGCTAATTTTTTTGTATTTTTAGTAGAGATGGGGTGTCACCATCTTGGCCAGGCTGGTCTTGAACTCCTGATCTCGTGATCCAGCCCCGCTCGGCCTCCCAAAGTGCTAGGATTACAGGTGTGAGCCATCGCGCCTGGCCAAAATTACACACACACACACACATGTGTCTGTGTGTGTGTGTGTGTGTGTTTGTGTGTTTGTAATTGTTTTCAGGAGCTAGAGAAATTTCGGTTACATACACACAAACATTCACTTATCTTTTTTCTGAGTAACTGCAATGAATTTATCATGAAATATGGTAAACTTCTGTACCACTAGTTTCTACTTTTGTTCATCGTCTGGTTTTCCCCTATTATCTTGGGCACATTTCCTTTAAGCCCCATGAAAATAGAGAATCTGTTATTATTGTGTTAAACTATGTCTTACTTTTCTATCAAATATATTTTGGTAAAACTAAAAAATGAATTTAAATGTTCATTGATTTTAATGAGGACCTATTGTATGCTGTACTTGCTGGATGTTCCACAGCTATAAAACAATAGTGAGCCAGCAGATTTGGGTGGGAACAACATCTTCACTATTTCAGACAAGTCACTAGGGGCATAGCTTCCATTCTTACAGTTCCTAAAATTATCAGTGTGGGCTCATGCCCAAGCATATTATGAAAGCTGCCCTTTGTAATATATTTGTGACATCTTATGTGGTCATAAATTCTTGAATACTTTTTGGCTATTAGGATGGTTAACCTCTGTAGCTTAGATATCCTATGTCACAAACATACATGAGAACTAATTTTAAGGAATAGTAAAATACACTTCATATGTGGAAAGAGGATGGCTGACATTCTTAGGGGCAGAATTATCCAGAAAGTTTATATAGTTTGTGATATTGCTGGACCATTACTCCAAAGGGTAAATGCTGTATGTTTTAGTGATCTTGGGTGGCTATAACAAAACACCACAGACTGTGTGGCTTAAGCAACAATTTATTTTTCACAGTTCTGCAGACCCAGAAATCCAAGGTTAAGGAAATGGCAGATTCAGTCTTGGTGAGGGCCCACTTCCTGACTCTCCTATCCTCACATGGCAGAAAGAACAAGCTCTGATGTCTCTTCCTCCCTTAAGAAGGCACTAATCTCATCACAGGACTTCATTCTCATGAGGTCATTTAACCAAATTACCTCCCCAAAGCCACACCTTCTAATACCATCACACTAGCAGTCAGGATATCAACATGGATTTCAAGGAGATACAAAGATTCAATCCATAACACTGCCCATACACTGAAGATTTCAAACTCATGAGTGGCATTATAAAAATTTGAAGAAGGTGACAAGTAGTTATGTAGAGGAGCAGTTTGAGCCAATTTGAGTCAATAAGAGTTTCCTTTTCTCTGCATCCTTGCCAGTATCTGTTATTGTTTGTTTATTTAATAATAGCTATTCTGACTTGGGTGAAGTGATATTTCATTGTGGTTTTGATTTGCATTTCCCTGATGATTAACAATGTTAAGCATTTTTTTCATATCTCTGTTGGCTACCTGTATGTCTTCTATTGCTATTTGTGTCTTTTGCCTATTTTCAAATGGAATTTTAAAAAAAAATTGTTGAAGTGTTTGAACTCCTTATATTCTGGATGTTAGTCCCTTGTCAGATGAATAATTTCCAAGTATTTTCTCCCATTGAAGATGTTGTCTCTTCATTCTGTTGATTGTTTCTTTTGCTTTGAAGAAGCTTTTTAGTTGAATATGTCTCATTAAAATTTTGCCTGTGCTTTTGAGGTCTTAGCCATAAAATCTTTGCTTAGCCTGATGTCCTGAAGAGTGTTTGTTTTTTTACGGTTTCTTATAGTAATTTTATAAATTTAGGTTTTATTGGAAGTCTTTAACCCATCTTTAGTTGACATTGTAAGTGGTGAGAAATAGGGGTCCAGTCTCATTCTTCTGCATGTGGTTATGCAGTTTTCCAAGCACCATTTATTGAAGAAGGTGTTCTTTTTCCAATGTTTGTTCTTGGTGACTTTGTCAAAGACGAGTTGGCGTAAATATGTGGGTTTATTTCTGGGTTCTCTATTCTGTCCCATTTGTCAAACTTTATACCAATATGTTCTGTTTTGGTTACTATAGCCTTGTCTTATATTTCGCAGTTAGGTAGTATGATGTCCCAGCTGTGTCCTTTTTACTCAGAGTTGCTTTGGCTATTTGAGCCTTTTGTGTTGTTCTATACTAATTTTTGGATTGCTTTCTTCTTTGTTTTTATGAAAAATAACTTTTGTGTTTTGACAAGGATTGGATTGGATCTGCAGATTACTTTGAGTAATGTGGTCATTTTAATTATTTTGATCTGTGAGCATGGGTTGTCTTTCCATTTCTATGTGTCCTTTTTAATTTCTTTCACTGGTGTTTTATAGTTTTCCTTGCAGAGATCTTTCACTTCTTTGGTTAAATTCATTTCTAAGTATTCTTTTTTTTTGTAGCCACTCTAAATGGGATTGACTTCTTGATTTTTTTTCATCTACTTCATTATTGATGGCTAGAAATATTACTGAGTTTGTATGTGATTTTGTATCCTGTAAGTTACCAAATGTATCAGTTCTAAGTCTTCAGATTTTCCCCATATAAGATCATGTCATCTACAAAGAGGGATAATTTGACTCCCTCTTTTCCAGTTTGGACACCAATTATTGTGTTTTCTTTTTTCTTTTTTTCTTTCCTGATTGCACTGGCTAAGATTTCCAGTACCAAGTTTAATAATAGTGTTGAAAATAGACATCCTTGTCTTGTTCAAGGTATTTGAGGAAAGGCTTTCAACTTTTCCCCATTCAGTATTATGTTAGCTGTGGGTTTCTCATATATAGTCTTTATTATTTTGAGATGTGGTCCTTCTATGCCGAGTTTGTTGAACATTTTATCTTGCAGAGTAGTAGTTCTATTTTTATTTTTTTGAGGAACTTCCATACTATTTTTTATAATTGCTGTACTAACTGGTTTGCCTAGCAAGAGTATACAAGGGTTTCCTTATCTGTACATCCTCACACTGACTAGCTTTTGTATTTTTTATTTTTTGATAATGGAAATTTGTAACAAGGTATGAGGTGATATCTTATTATGGCTTTAATTTGTAATTCTCTGATGATAATAAACATCTCTTTTTGATGTCATTACCAGATAGTGTTTGAAATTGCTGAAAAGCTGCTATCCATTGTTCTCCATATACTTTTTGCAAGTGTAAAGGTCTAACTCACAAAGTTAACAACAATGCTGAGAACAGTACATTCTAGCAAGTTCCTTACCTAGCCACCATGAAAGAAAAATTAAAAAAAAAAACACTTTTCTAATCATTTCACACAGTAACAGGCCATGAAAAGTTTGTGAAATTGGTCTGTATAATGGCACATGGTTAACAATTACAGAAATGTTTCAAAATGTACTAAAACTTTAAAATCATCACAATCTAATCATAGAAAGTAGTTCTAATACCACATATGACTCTAAACCTACAATTGCTCTGTCACCCTCTATGGAAGGCAATTTCCTGTGAGCTCTCCCATGCAATGAAAATTAATAAATCTCATGCTGAATCCCTGAGAAATGTGCTGCTTCTTGAGAGAATATTAACATGAGGAATTAACTTGTGTTTTAAAGAACATTTTTTAGCAATTAGAGTAATTTTATAAGATGTGACGTAATTAAGGTAGGAAAACAGACCAAAGTTGGTATATACAAATTTTTAGAAAGGTAAACATTATGTCAAAATATGTTCTGAAGCAAAGGAATATAGAGGATGCTAAAACAGAAGTGCCCATATTGCATTTATTTTTTTTTCTATAAACCATTGGTTTGTCAGCTTACAGTATGGAATTTCCAATCATAAAATAAATGTCAGGAAATTAGCTGCAGTATCTTAATACTTTTACTGTTGCTTTCAAATAGTACAATAAGAAAAGGCTTTCTTTTAATTAAGATATATATTTTGGGGAAGAAAGAGTGATTATTCAGGGGCATTTGAAAAGTTGGTGGTGAAAGAAGGCTCCAGGGCATCACTTACTACTTTTATCAATATACCATCACATAATCTGTGTGAATCATTTACTTGGATTCTTATTGTACTTATTTGTGACTTCATAGTGTCTGAACTGTCACTTTACTTTCTTTATTATTTGTCAGCCTCTACACTTATATTTATTCTTGTTGTTTCTTAAATTCAAGCTGAATTTGATGGTATGTTTTCCTAATTAATATTTTTCATTATTTTTCTGTTACACCAAATATGCGTATACTCGTGCTATGAAATTATTCAAGCAGATAGCGTCCTAGATCATTTTAATGTTTTACAAATATGTATTTTTGGTTCACATGGAACCAGCTTAAATTATACCACTGGATATTTATTTATTTTTATTTTTAAAAGTAAAACATTTAGAATTAAGCGTGTGTCATTTCGATGCCAGAGTTAACTTTATCAGTATCTGAAAGAGGAAAAACAAAAAGCAAAAAACAAAATTAAAAAAACACTAATAAATGCTCTATTTGTTTTCCTCAGTTTAGTTATGCAGGATTAGTTTATTTTAATTTTGTTTTTATTTTTTATTGAAAAAATCCTTAGACATTTCCCTTTCATAATACAGCCTTTGATAATGGAGTTTCCCTTGTCATTCAGAACATTGTCCTTCTATTCAGAATATAATTAGTTGAAATCTGTATCTCAATATCTGTGCATGCTGTGGCAAATTGAAATAACATGTAGATGTGTATCTTTGTTCAGACATGTGAAATACAGTGGTAGGAGAAAGAAGACACAATTTCTGTAAATTTTATCTCCCAATGACTATGGACTTTGCTAATATATTGTGATTGTTTATGATATCATTGAGTTATTAGGGTAATTATTTACTGTTCTCCACTTTTTTACATGAAATGGAGCTTCAGCCCTTATAAGTAAGAAATATTAAAACAATTAAATATACTTTACTATGGTAAAAAATGTTGTCAAATATATTTATAAGGCATATCATGACCTTATGGGAATATAATAAATGATCCATTCAAAGTAGATTTACTCATTATTTCAAACAGTTTAGATACGGTACTCCTTATTCCAGTTACACTGGTAGCTGAATAGTGATGAATTATTCTAATTTCTCTATTAAATACTTCTATTAAAATATTTCATCTCATTAAAATGTGAATCCACAGTATATATAACTTCAGAAAGAAATGTTCAGAGAAAGTGAGTGTGTCTACTGAGCAAACAGTGAAGCAAGAAAAAAGGATTGCACAGGGAATTAGATTAGCCACGCTGGTAAAGGCATAGCTGAAGCCCCATTAGGTCTGGCCCAGACAGCATTTGTGTTTGGAAGAGCTAAGCAAATCACATTAATTAATGCTTACAATTTTCTTTGGTGAAAGGTCCTGATGTCAGAGAGAAGACAGACATTTTCTTTTTTATCTGTACATTATACAAGCCCACCCAGGTCACTGGGCCATTGGAAAGGAAGCAAAAGGAACTGAAGCAAAAATAATCACGATTTTAGCCTCAAAGCAAAAAGAATGCTTACTCATTTACACCATTCCTTTTATTAGAATGCTTAATTTTGAACTACAATGAATGTGTTTGCATGTATGTGTGTGTGTGTGTATATATATATATATATATATATATACACACACACAATCACATTCATTGTATGTGTATATGTATCACATTTATTATATGTGTATATATATATTTATGTACACACATACACACATTTGCATGTAGACATATATGTGTGTATGTGCATTTCCTTTCCAGAAAATTCCACCAGAAAGGACTCTTTGACCAAAGAGAAAATTAAAGGAGTACTGTAGTGTTATTTTCTACACTCTAGTTGTTTCTACAGGACTTTCTGTGCCCCAATAGATTACAATGTCATGTAGATGCAGAAATAAAGATGGTTATATTATAAGGAACACAGAGTGCAAATAAAATACTAAAGTTATGTATAAAACAAAATTATATCTTCTAAAAATAAAGTAATATAGCATCTAAATCATATAAAGCCAAATGAGTGTTAGCACCTTCAAAGCCACTATGCTAAAGTAGTTTTCATTTAGTTATTGCCATTTACATGTTTTTTACAAACAACACTTTACAGTAATGCTTAGAGCCTGCATTTAAAGGAGAGGAATTAGAGAAGGGAAAGCTGGGTAAATACACAGGAAATCCAGTTGATTGCTTAGACAGAGCCTCATGTAGTAGCAATTACATCACTTTGGTGGGGAATCAACACAAACTGATCTCTCACTTTTCAGATCTCGACTTTAGAATGTTTCAGATAGAGCACTCAAAGATAATTTTATTTAAGTGCACTCACTTCAAGATTGTTGCATGAAATGATATATAAACAAAAATCATAATACAGTATTCTTATGCATTTACCATAATATTTTTGTTTTCTAAGATGTACTCTTCCTGATCAATACTTTAGAAAACATAATGAAAAAATAGAAAATATTTTGGGACAAGGATGTGGGGGGAAAGTAAGTTATACAAAATAATAGTCCACTGAGATTGAAGTGTGAAAGAATAAATCCATTCCTGTGCTACATCCAATGCTCTCTGGTACCCCACATTTTCCAGATTCATTAACACTCCTGGAAAATGCTTTCTGATACTGTTGAATTCTCAACCTTTACATTTCCATTTTTGTAAGCAGCATGTGGAAAGACTAGTTTTTCTTTAGTTAGTACATTCTTTCCTCGGATAACGTGCAATAAAATCTGTTAGATAGATGCACATCCTTTCTTATAAACAATTCTAACACTGAACGTTAACGTTCACTGTGTACCTCTTCTGTTTTCCGAAATTTTGTAACAGCATATTTTCATGAAAATTATTTTGTTATTTTTTCAGATGGTAGAGAATATCCACGAAAATATCATTCTTCCCCCATTCATACTGAAAATTCTAAGATGCCTTAATGTAGAAATCATGCATGCAATATTCATTTTTAATGGCTAATCATGCAAGTATATGTGGAAGAGGCCAGAGTTGGGCCAAGATTTCAAAAGTGATGTGTTTTATTCATAAAGATGTGCTAGGACTCAGTAATTACCCATTATTATAGGAAGATACAAAGAATAAGAACAGATTTTTCAAGCTGCTATCCCTAATGTATTTGTCTTTTATTACTTATGAGTCTTTTAGCTGGGTCAGATTATAAAAGGCTGGTTCCAGTTTACAAACTGTCCAAAACGATGACTAAGAGAAGGTTCAAGTTTGCTCTTGCTTGGATTTACATAAACAGGACAAAAAGTGCAAAGAAATGATACATGAGTAAATGAACACAGCTTTTCCATGTTTCCTTAGTTCCTTACCAAGCGATTAGCAAAATTCGGTAGTGTATTACTTAGAAGAGTCTTACGTTTTATACTTCTAGAACAGAGAAGGAACCATATGCACAATCAAGAGTTTACCAGCTACTTTAAAAGGTAATTCCTTACTTGCTCATAGACACCTACTCCTTCATTCCATTTTTTTCTTCAACTTTATATCACCTCATACTTATATATAAATACATTCATTTCCCTTGCATATACCCAATAAAACCTCTTTGCCTTCCTATGAAAACTGTGATTTCTTCTATTGAACTAGATTTAAATTAAAATATATGTTGCATAAAACAAGGGATGATTTCATTGTAGCATTTGTGCCAAGAAAAATAATTTGAATATTTTGTTCATTAAGATAAACCTATGCCTTCAAGTTAGTCATTTTATGATTAGAAATAATAGCTATTATCGGACCATTTTGGCTAACCTTTTTGGAGGCTACTAATTATTTTCATTTATAACTTCTGAGATAAAAATATTTCTATTTCCACTATTGTAGGACTTTGTCAAGTGGATAAATCTTTAAAATAACCGTGGGCAGAGTGTATCATTATCAGCTAACATGACAGTATGGAGGCGTTATTCGCATTGCTAACAACACAAGCAGAAAGGGAGAATGGAGAATTTTTTTAAAACCATTCTTTTAATTTTCTTCATGATGAAGTTAGAACATTTAAAAACTAATAAAGAGGTGTTCTAAGAAAATTCTGAAATGTGACAAAAGTTATATCTAATTATAATTATGACAAATAACATTAAAAAGTCACCCTGTTTAAAAGTATCAAAAAATCTAACATCTAATGTAAGATTTCATTTTCCTAAATTTAAAAATCCTTACATTTATGAGGGCCTAAATATTTTGTGGCCAATACATTAAAAAATATCTTTAAATGAAACAGCTTTACCATAAGTTTTAGTGTGGAATGATTCCTATTAATGTCATTCTTGGTTGGGTTTCGGGGTGAGAATGAGCTATGTGCCTCATTTCTTAATGAACATTTATTGATGCAAATGAAAATTATATAAATATTCTGAAATGGGAAAAGGAATATTTGTTAAATTCCCAAATATATATTTGCTCCTTCAATTTACAAATCATACCTGATTGATTACCCAACTTTGGAATATTTTAAATTTAATATCAGCCATTTAAATTTTATTGTTATTGATAACTAGATAATTTTTCTGTTGTCTTAATGATGATGTATATGTTTAATTTCTCAACTGAAATAATGTGGGAAATTACACAATAAATTGTGTCAATTAAAAAGAGGGAAATACTGGTAAGTGTAAGCATTTTAAATAGAGTTATCTTTGGCTAATGTCCAAGGGTAAATGCATATTTCTAATTCTTTATAGCTTTAGTCAATGAGCTTAATTTTGAATAACTAAAAATGCTAGTTACTATGGCATCATATTTCTTTATATAGTATCTATTTTCATACAAAGAAAAGAAAAAAGTTTCAGGTTACTTTAAGCTGAGGATGCCCACAGTTTATGTCTTAGTTGATAATGGATATGAATTTTCATATTTTATTCTGCCACGTAAATCTCAATGAAGCCCTAAGCCCTTCTCATCCTCACACAGGTTTCCTTTCTGTGTATGAAAAAGTAAATCATTATTAAGTAATGCAATAGATAGCCAAATCAGACAGGAACTATTACAACCAATTTTGTTGTTACATATTTTCAAAGGAAACTTCTACAAGGGGTAAAAATTGAATCTTATACATTGCTATTAACGGGCCTCTAAGTAGAAGGAAGCATATATTTACTGCGTCATAATTTTATTATGGTGGCGCTCCAAAAATGACCAAAAGGATTCTTAGGATAATTGTAGCTATCAAATACTGAGCTATGTTATCTTGTAACTTGAGGCTGAAGACAATAAGAAAAATTCAGGAAATGTATTTTTAACATATACATGCATAAAATTGTTCAATAAAAATGGATATATGATGAATCATATCCAAGCAAAAAAGTTACTTTGAATCATTGTCTCTACTATATAGTATTCCTAACTTCTCCAGACACTACTTTGCAAACCAGGGATAAAGAATAAAAAAAAAAGGTAAACTTTGAAGTGAATTATTGGGATATTATTGTGAATCGTTTTTGCTGCAGGCAGCATGGCATGAAACAGAGCATACAAACTGGGAAAAGTAGAGGAGAGATGAATTTATGGATTATCTGGAACATATATTCCAAATCAATTGTTTTCTAAGTTATTTCCTGACATGGTTTTGTAAATGCATTTAAATCAATGAACAATATTGGAGTTTTCTGGAGTCCTTATATCAGGTTTCTGATTATAAAAGAATGTATACTATATTATTTAATAAAAAGTATGTAATTCATCAATATATTTAAATACAGAAATTTTAAACTGTCCTCTAATTGTGAAGTCAAAACTAAGAAGTTACTTGCTATTTTAAGTTTGCTAGAGAATGATACTGTGCTTTTGAGCTCATTAAAAATAATTAATATATATTTATCAGTCAAACACACTGAGATTGATTATCATCATGCAATTCATATGCTAGAGGCTGGAGCCTGTGTCTTCAGGCCACTACACATATAAAAAGCCAAACTGCTCAGCCTTGATACAAGTGAAGTGACTTGATACTCTAAAAAGAAACACCAGCCTCTTGATGGACAAAAATATGAAATGACAAGAGTAATTTCAAGTAGCTCCAAGTAAATTAACCATAATATTTACTAATAGTATCATCTTTGCTAATAAGGATTAGGGCATTAATAAACACTGGAAAAATAAAATGGGCTTCAAAGTTCACTTGTGTAAATTGATGAAGGTCACAAGAAATCAAAAAAGGTTAGAGATAATATTGTTTTAAAAGCTTAATATACTAGTCAGGAAGTAACTGGGAAATTCATTGAACATCTTTTGGTTTTTAGGGTCATTCTTTCTGTAGGAATATGCATATACTATAAGTGAATTATCACAATTACTAAAATTAGTTGTCTAGTATACAGACAAAGTTGTTGCCTAATATTGTGTCATTTTTTGGAAGCATCAATTTCACAAACATATCTTTTTTGTTTGCTTATTTTGTGGTTTACCTTTTTTTCCAATTCTTATTTTGGTAAGTACAAATGGTATAAAATTTGCCATCTTATCTATTTTTAAGTGTACAGTTCAGTGGTCTTAAACACATTAATGTTGTGCATCCATCACCACCATCTGTCTGCAGAACTCTTTTCATCTTGGAAAACTGAAACTCTATCCCATTAAACTAAATCTCTATCCTCCTGTCCCTGCAGCACCTGGCAACTGGCATTCTCCTTTCTGACATTATAATTTTGGCTA
Organism: Homo sapiens; assembly: GCF_000001405.40. Classification (NCBI taxonomy): domain Eukaryota; kingdom Metazoa; phylum Chordata; class Mammalia; order Primates; family Hominidae; genus Homo; species Homo sapiens. Next base: position 92,663,859 of record NC_000004.12, read on the forward strand.
CGCTGAGTACCTCATATAAGTGGAATCATGCATGATTTGTCCTGTTGTGATCTGTGTATTTCACTTCACTTAATGTCATCAAGATTCGTCCATGTTGTAGCATATGTCAGAATATTTCCTCTATTTAAGATGGAATCGTATCCTCCATTTTACTTATCTTTGCTCTAACGTTTATTATTTCCTTCCTTCTTCTACCTCTGGGTTTTGTCTGTTTGTCTTGTTACAGGTCCATAAGTTGTATGGAGAGACTATCGATTTGAGATCTTTTTTTCTTTTAAATTCTAAGTAAATGAAAATGAAATTTCATTTCAGTTATTATACTTCCCAGCTCCAGATTTTCCTTTTGATTATTTTAAAATGTATCTCAAAATTTTCTTCTTAGCACTGTTTTGCTGCATCCCATAGGTTTTGGTTTGTTGCATTTTTGTTTTCTTTTGATTCTATTTTCTAGTTTCCCTTATTTCTCTTTCGATCAATTGGTTGTGTAAGACTATGTTTTTAAATTTCCATTAATTTGTTCACTTTCTAGCTTTTCTTCTATTATCGATTTCTAAATTCATCCTGTTGTGGTTGGAGAAGATTTTCTTTTATGACTTCCATTTAAAAATATATATATATTGGGACTTAGGTCTCATGTGCAGTTAAGAAGAATGGGTATTCTATTGTTGTTGGGTATCATGTTCTTTATATGTCTGTTAGACCTAGTTAGCTTATTGTGTTTCTTCTCTTTCCTTACTTATCTTCTGTCTGGTTGTTCTCTTCATTATTAAGAATGAGATATCAGTCTCTAACTACTTTTATAGAACTGTCTATCCCTTAAATACTGTTAATTTTTGCTTCATGTATTTGATGTCTGTTATTAGGTACATGAATGTTTACATATCTTCATGCAGTGTTGATTCTGTTATTAATACATAATGTCCTTCTTTGTCACTTGTAACCTTTTTAAATTTAATGTCCATATTTTCTGATTTTAGTATAGTTACTCCTGATCTCTTTTGGTTACTATTTGTATGGAATATCTTTTTTAAATCTGTCATTTTCAACCTATTTCTGTCTTTGGATCCAAAGTGAATCTTTAGTAAACAGCATATTGTTGGTTGATTTTAAAAGTCCACTCTGCCATTCTTTTTTTTTTTTTTAATTTCAGAGCTTAATCTACTTATGTTTAAAGTAATTACTGATAAGGAAAATCTTCTGTCATTTTGCCATTTTTTTCTGCAAGCATTATAAATTTTTTGTCCTGATTTTTTGCATTACTGTCTTCTGTGTTTAATTGATTTCTTTTGTAGAAAAATATTTGAATTCCCTTCATATTTCCTTTTCTGTGTATCCTAGAGCTTTTTTGTGTGGTTACCATGGTAATTACATTTAACATCCTCAAGTCATAACACTCTAGTTTGAATTTAAGCCATTTTAACTTCAATAACAAAAAAAAAAAAAACCTCTGCTCCTTGGCAGCTTAGTTTCCACCCTGTTCAGTAGTTCAGCTGTTGATGTAACAAAAACACATTTTATGTATTATGTGTCCAAAAATGTAAAGTAATAATTTTTCCTAAAGCATTAGTACCTTAAATTATGTGGAAACAATATGTATAGTTATAAACCAAAGTTACAATAATGCTAACATTAAATTTTTCATGTATTTATTTTTACTGCAGTCTTTATTTTTTCATATACCTTTGAGCTACCATCTAGCATCCTTCATTTTAAACTGCAAGAGTGTTTTTTAGCATTTCTTTCAGGGCCAATCTAGTGGTTATAAACTCAGCTTTTGCTTATTTTAGAATTTTTTTATTTTTCTCTAACTTTTGAAAGATAATTTTACCACATATAGGATTCTTGGTTGACATGTTTTTTTTTTCTAGTAGTTATTTAAATATAATAGTCCATTGCCTTCTAGACTGCAGTTTCTGATGAGAAATCTACTGATAGTCTCATTGAGGTTGCATATTATAAATTACTTTTCTATTTATGATTTCCAGATTATTTATTTGCCTTTGGCTTCCCACAGTTTGATTAAAATGTGTCTCAGTGTGTGTATCTTTGAGTTCACAATATCGAATTCATTAAAGTTCTTGAATGTTTATATTCCTGTCTTTCCTCAAATTTTGGAAATTTTCAGAAACTATTTAAATATTTTCTCTGCCTCTTTCATTTTCTTCTCCTTCGGAGACTACTATAATGTGTATATTGGTCTTCATGATTGTGTTTTATACCTTTAGTTTTCACTTTCTTCAGTCATTTTTTATTTCCATCCCTCAGATTCAATAAATTCCATTGTCCTATATCCAAATGCACTGATTCTTTTTCTGCCTATTCAAAACTACCTTTCAAACAGTATAATGCATTTTTCATTTCAGTTATTATACTTCCCTGTTCCAGACCTTCCTTTTAGTTATTTTTAAAATACTCTATTTATATTTTCATTTTGTTCATACATATATATTTCTTACTTCCCCTGTGCCTTCCTTCAGTTCTTTGAGCATCTTGAAGACAGTTGTTTTAAAGTCATTTTCTAGTAGATCTACTATCAGGACTTTCTCAAGGACAATTTCTGTTGGTTTATTACCTTCCACTGAATGGAACATACTTTACTGTTTCTTCGTATGCCTTGTGATTTTTGTGTTGAAAACTGTATATTTTAATCCAATAATATGGCAAATTTGGAACTCATATTTCACTCCTTCACCTGGATATGCTGCTTTTATTTTGATTTGGTTTGTTTTGTTTGGAATGCTGTAGGCTATCTCTATGCCAAGGATTAGGCTGATGTGTAAACTTAAGGGTTGTTTTTTTTTTTTTTTTTTTTCAGATCTTTTCTGAGCCTGCATTTCTCCCTGGGCATTCCTGAAAACTTTCTAATTTTCCCGTATTTTCAGGTGCTGTGAATGTTTTAGTCTTTAATCTCTGGTTCACAAAAATGAGAAAAAGAAAAAATTAAGATTAAAAAAAACCTCACTTGAGCTTTATATACTCTGGAAGTCACTTCAGCCAAAGAAAATGCTACTTGGAACAATAAGGGGGAGATGTAGCAAGAGTGGGTGCCTGCCTTTGTGTTTGTCCCTCCTTGATCAAATACAGCAATTAATGATCAGAACACACAGCCCCAATGTTAGAGAACAGTGTCCTTACTGCCCACCCTGCCTCCCATGAGTTGTATGAAAACTGCTCTAGTAACATGTGTACAACTACCTGCCATAGAGTTTGTTAGTGTGAAAGGTGGCTGCTGTCGAGTTAAGAAGTGATACTAACCAAAATCTTCTTCAGTTTACCACTAAAGCCTTCCCCTAGAAGATACAAGCCTTTATAGCATTCTAAATAAGTTACATGGGAAAGATTTTTGCTTGTGTAATTATTGTCTGAGTGAGAAAACTTATTATTGGTGCTTCCTACTCCACTGTCTTCCCAGAATTCTCTTATTTTGAGTTTTTAATAATATTTGAATTTCAAAGACTTCCTAATAATTCCAAAGGATATAACACTGGGTAAAAGTAGAAGTGGGTCAGCAGACTTTTTATTGTAATTATACTTTCATGAGTCCCATAATATAAAATTTAGACGGTTTAATCCCTCCTCTGAAATATATGTTTCACTTATTATTAGAAGATACACATTATTTTTAATTTAAAGATAATGACTACATTTACTATTTTCTGTTCATTTACAATCCAAGAACAAATAAATATCCATAGCAACATAGACTCTAGAAAGGTCCTCCATATGCGCTACTCAATGCATACTTCTTACTTATTTTTGCCTAGACTATATATATTCATAAAGTTTTGTTAGCTGGACAGTCACCCAAACATATGAGAATTCATTTAAGACAAATCTAGAAAATTAAAAAAAATACCCCCTAGAGTGAAAAATTGTATACAGTGTTGGAATAAAAATTTTTAATTCCTTATTAAAGTAAATCTCATTCTCTTGCTTGGATTGACATTTGATCAATTGATGTTCAAATTAAATAAGTTGTTTGCGTTTCTAAAACAGACAACAAGATATAGTTAAAATATATTTAGTTCCAGTTCCTGCACTTCAAGAATTAATGTAGCCCTCTTCAAAGATTATGACCTTTTCTAAATGTACTCCTTGTATCACCAGAAATTGAGAGCTTTCAGCATGTGGTACTACCGGTATCATCAAACTGAAAAAGCAGAAATGCTGTCCTTATCCTTTCCTGATCATTAAATGTCATCAGTGATAAAGCTTAAGTGAAGCAGTTTGTTAAGATGGAGGCTGTTGGTACTGCTCTGTAGAATACAGGAGGTCAGATTCCACAGTGTCAAGGAAAATCAAGCTAATGGAGCAATTTAATTAAAATTAATTGAGTATAATTCTGTCTCTTAAGAATGAGATTGATGTAGGGTTATTTCCAGCTTTTTTGGCTTAAGGTGAAATGAATGTCCATACTTTTTAATGTTATCTTCCTCAATCTTTTCCTATAATCATAGTTTTAACAAATAATAATGGTTTATAGAAGTTAGAAATGTAAAAGACCTATGAGGTTATTTAAGCTACTATACACTGTGATTGGATTTTTTTATTCTCTTTATGTACCTCTCATACCCATACTGAGTTTAGTTCATAATATAGACTCTAAGCTGAGAAGTAATATATATTGAGGCATCTATTAATGCTTCATTTAAAACCCATACCCTTACCTTAAATTTTAGTGGAATCCTGCTGACAAACTTGTGTGAGCCAACTAGGTAGATTTTAGTTGAGCAATCTAGATTCCTGCTTCTATCACAAAACAGTTTATACAAGTCAGCAGAATTGGCATATATCTGATTAAATGTAGTAGAGACAGATGTAGTACACCTTTAGCATGACTTACCCATCTGTCATTGGGATATGCTGTTCTCTTCATAAAATCACTTTTACTACTCCAGAAAGTTAAATAGCTCACATTTTTGCTTCCTCCACTCTGCTTACTTATGCATAAATATTATAGTCCCCTTGCCAAGTAGTCAGTATTTATAATTAACATATTTACTAGATTGACAACATTAAGTATAAACAGATAGACATGGTGGTGACCAAAAGAGGAATATATTGGGCCTTGTTACTTGGGAAAAGATTTTAGCATGGTAGTATAGCTTGATAGTATTTGGTCATCATTAAGAGATTAAAAATTTCTTTCATGACTTTGTTTCTTCACTCTTGCGATGTCATTTATTGCATATATTGATACGGTTTTAAAAAATTAAAATTTACCTCTCCTAAACATTTTCTGCCTTTGAAAAAGTCATTGAAAAAATGTTTTGAATATATACAAGAATGAAATTAAAGGGCAAAAAAATAAGAGTTAAAGTTCTATTCATTTTTATATTATTAGTCTAGGAGAGTGGTACATTTAATTAAACATAGAAACTTAAAGACATTGAATACGACTTCTCTGTTGCTACTCTATGCCTTATAATACTCACTGCCAGACAGGGTAGGTATGTAACTACTAACAACCCTAAAATATAACAAATACATCAACTGGAAAGCTTTGTATATTATAAAATTCTGTCAGCGTGGTAGGGTACCTGAGCAGCGATCCTATGGAGAGCTGAAACAGAGTAACTGCAGGCAGAAGATATCTTTTTAAAGGAACTTGCTGATAAAAAGCTTCAACAGCATGACATATCTCTGACTTGCTGGGAAACAGCAGCTGACAGAGCAAACCAACATGTAACAGTTGGTTTCAGGGGTGAATATATAGGACCATAAAGCAAATGAAACTTGTGAACAGCCGCCAGAGTTGCAAATCAAAAGCCATTATACACCTATTCCATGTGGGGCCAACTGTTGAAACTAATAGCGCCCTTTCCTTTAGATTTTCTTGAATAAAGGCAGCTATCAACTAGTGATCAGACCATAAGGAATATAATTTTACTTATGATAGAGAAATTATATACCATTTGGAAATTTTATTTAATCTATTATCCCTTTCAATTTTGTATTCAAAATCTTATCGTAAGCCAAGCCACCTTCCAATAACAATTATTAAATATCTGAGCTTCAATTGACTATCATGATTTCTTGCATTCTAATCAACTAAAGAGAACTTCCAGATATATTCTGTACTGTAGGTAATTGAGCTATTCCTCATTATGCCGGCCTTGATTTGCAAAGGTGATGAAATATCTTCACAGTTGATGAGGAGGCTGGTTGCACCAAAACTTGCAAAAGTGTTTTCTTCATTCTCGCTACTGTAAAATAATGTGAATAACATAAAGGACTTTACTAGGCTGTATACTGAAAGAACAATAAATCATTAGCACCACAGGAGAGAGTTGTAGTAGCCTTTGATTAATCTATAATCTACCACTATTGCAATATTCTTTGTTAATGGAATTTTCAATTAGAATATTATTTGAAACACAATTCATTTTACATTTATTAAACGTTCCGCATACTATTATGTTGTCATTAGGTAGCATTTAGCAAACTGATCATTAAAGCAGCAAATTTGGACCACAGATTTGTTATCATTTTTGGGAGCTTGCAGTGGCTTTGGGAACTTTTTTTTAAACTGATTTAATGATAAGATTCCATCATCTTCTTTCACAGTTATTTCATCTCATTATTCCTATTTGTGGATGAACACTTGGTAAGGTATTTACTATTTTGAGTTCATTTTTATGCTTATGAACATTAGGTAAACATTGGCTTCATGATACTACTTACTTTATAAGGTTTTATGTAAATTATTAATACATATAGAGTAAGATTTCAATTAACCTCAGCTATTTTATTATTGCTAACAATAAATGTAAAATTTCAGTAAATGTTAAAACTACTAATTTAATATGTAACATATGTAGAGCTACAAGGTGGCAGGAAAAGTTCTAAATGCTTTGCATATCTTAATTGTTTGACTTGCATAATATAAGCATTCTTTGAAGTAGGTAGTATTGTTATTTCTACATTACAAATGAGAAAACCGGGGCTTAGAGAGGATAAGTAGTTGGTCCAAGGTCAGCTTGAGGTTTGGACCTGAGACTGTTCAACTTCAAAATCTGTCCTGTCAATTACTGTACTTTAAAACTCTCTGCCAGCAGTATTGAACAAAATAGGATATTATAAAATACTCATTTGTGACACTGATGTTTGGAACCCAAAATGTATATATCAAATATAAAAAATGCATACTAACTGTATTAGTCTGTTCTCACATTGCTATAAAGAACTACCTGAGGCTGCATAATTTATGAAGAAAAGAGATTTAATTGACTCATAGTTCCACAGACTGTACAGGAAGCATGGCTTGGAGGCCTCAGGAAACTTAAAATCATGGTCGAAGGTGAAAGGGAAGCAAACATGTCTTACCATGGCAGACAGGAGAGAAAGAGCTAAGGGGGAAGTGCTATCCACTTAAACAATCAGATCTCATGAAAACTTACTCACTATCATGAGAACAACAAGGGGGAAATCCCATGATCCAAACACCTCCCACCAAGCCCCACCGCCAACACTTGGGATCACAATTCAACATGAGATTTTGGTGGGGACAGAGAGCCAAACCATATCTCTAGCCAATACCCACTCTAGATTCAAGCCTTGTTAGATTCATATTGTATCAAACATCATATTATATGGGAAACTACATTCAGGCTTCCATTTTCAGCCTTCATTTTTTAAATCATGTTACTGAACTGGCAGTTGAAATAGTGACCATCTCCAAATCCTACCAAGTTCCAAACAGACAGTTTTTCCTCCTTTGGCCTTTGACAGAGGATTCAGGAGTCAAGTATAAGAAATAAGGAATAGATTTTTGTCAGCTGTGGACCCAGAGGAGTTAATTGTTGGAAGTGTTGCGTAAAAGTAGTCTAGGGAGGCAAATGTACAATGTACTGGATAGTGAGAAGCAAGGAGGGTTTTGAGAGAGAAAAAGTGTCCAAATAGGAAGATAATATATTCTTTTTCCCTTTACCTTTGATCTTTATAATGTAGCTCTCCTCCCATGAGTCATATCAGTTCTCAGATATTTGAAAAATAACTTTTGCTAACAACTGTAATATCTTTCCAGAACCTTTCCTTGAATGTATCAAATGCTGTCAGACCATATGGTTTCAGGATACTCTTACATACTGATTGCTTGAAACTGGTTGTTAAATTGAGGCTTAGAATTAGATTAACTATTAAAAAATAGCTTAACCAACAGTTTGAAATACAGTGAGATTTTTATTATTTAAACTTTTTAATATTATATCATAAAAGATTGAATTCAGTTTTTTATTGATTTTGTTTTTATCATAGGAAATTTCAAACATATTCAAATGAGAGAGAATCGTATAGTATATTTCCATGTGTCCATCACCCACCTTCAAAAATTATCATTACATGTCTGATCTTGTTTCACCTATATCCTTATTCATTTCTCACCTGTTCCTTTCTTCTGCTCAAGATTATTTTGAAGTAAACTCCAGACATCTTGTTTTCAACAAATATTTAACATGTGTCTCTGACAGTCATGAACTTTAAATTTTCAGCTCTAATACCATTACTACATCTGAATTTACAATCATTCCTTAATATGAATACCCAATGTTAAAATACATGTAATAGTCTAGTAATATTTTATGATTAATATTTTTACAGCTTTCTCCAGTCTTTTACTTTCAACTTATTTGTACTTCTACATTTAAAGTGAATTTCTGGTGTATAGCTAATAATGGGGTCTTGTCTTTTACTCAGTCCAACAGTTTCTAACTTAATAAGAGTGTTTGCTCAGTCCATTTATATTTAATGTACTTATTGGCATGGATGTATTTAGTCTAACATATTGCCATTTGTTTTCCATTTTCCCATCTATTCTTCATTACATTTTTTCTTCATTTATTTATTCATACATAATACATGTAAATATTTAGGGGGCACATGTTTATAATATGATACATTGATATAATCAAGTCAGGGTAATTAGGATATCTATCACCTTAAATATTTATTGTTTCTTTGTGGCAGGAATATTTAATTGTTCTCTTTGAACTATTTTGAAATGTACAATGAAATAATATTAACTATAGTCATCCTACCAATCTATCAAGCACCAGTTCTCAGTTCTTCTACTAAGTGTGTATTTAAGCCCATTAACCACACTTTATCCCCCAATTCCCCTTACTCTTCCAAGTTTCTGGAACCACCAGTTTACTCTCTTATCTTCGTAAGATTTACATTTTAGCTCCCACAAATAAGTGAGAACGTGCAATATGTGTCTTTGTGGGATTGGCTTATTTAAATTAATCAAGTCTTCTTTTTTATTTCTTACTGTTTTACTATTTGATTTTTAATGACATCTAGATAGATGTGTGTATCTTTATTTTATATATATATATTTGATGGTTACTCTAGTGTTTACAAAATTTATCTTTCACTTACTATATTCAATCTTTTGGATAAATATACCACATCATCTATGCTATAAGACTACTGTAGCAGTGTATTCCCATTTATGTCTGTATGCACTGTTGTGCAATTGTGGACATCCACTTCATTTCTACATACGCTATTTTTTAAATACATTGTGTGTTTTAAATATTGAGTTGTTGTTTAGATAAATGAGGAAACAACACTTTTAAAATTTAATAAAATATTTAACATATCAACCATGCTCCTTCATGAAGATCTGTGTTTCTTTTAAGTTATTTCCCTCTACGCTTAAGGAGTTTTTAAAATATTTCTTGTACTGCATGTCCGCTAAGGAAATATTCTGTTTTTTTAGGTGAAACCACTTTTATTTTCACTGATTTTTTTAAAGATATTTTCCCTGCATATGAAATTCTAAGACAGATTTACTTTATTTCTGTGTTCTTTCAGCATCTTAAAATTTTGATCTATTGAATTCTGGCTGGCATTGTTCCTGATAAGAAGACAGTTGACTTTTCTGTCCTTGTGAAAGTTTGGGAATTGAACAATGAGAACACTTGGACACAGGGTGGGGAACATCACACACCAGGGCCTGTCATGGGGTGGGGAGGAAGGGGGGAGGGATAGCATTAGGAGATATACCTAATGTGAATGACGAGTTAACGGGTGCAGCACACCAACATGGCACATGTATACATTTGTAACAAACCTGCACATTGTGCACATGTACCCTAGAACTTAAAGTATAATAAAAATAAAAAATAAATAAAAAAAGAAGGCAGTTGACATTCCTTTTATTTTTCTTCTGTATATAATACACTGTTTATTACAAGCTACTTTATATTTGATTTTTAGTAATCTTATTGTGTTGAATTGAGTGCTTTTTCATTGGATTTATCCTGTTTAAAATGAATTGAGTTTCTTAGGCCTTCAGTTGATATTTTTCATCAAATTAAGTAAAAACAAAAATTTAGCATTAACTCTTCAAATGTTTTTGAACCTTATTTTCTCTCTCCTTCCTCTAGGACTTCATTACGAGCATGTATGACTGCTTTATTGTTCCATGGATCTCAAAGTCTCTGTTTATTTATGTATTTATTTTTTTCCTTTCTATACTTCAGTTCAATAGATTGGTCTGTCTTCAAGTTCACTCATTCTTTATTCTCTAGTATTCAATAGCTGTTAAGTCCACCCTATAGCTTTCTTAATTTCAGATAATTTATTTTTACAGTTTCAACTTATATGGTTTTTATTTTATCTGATGAAATTTTCATCTCTTTACCCATTTGTTTATTTATTATTACTATTTTTTATTTTAGATGGAGTCTTGCTCTGTTGCCCAGGCTGGAGTACAGTGGCACGATCTCAGCTCACTGCAACCTCCGCCTCCCAGGTTCAAGCAATTCTCTGCCTCAGCCTCCCAAGTAGCTGGGATTACAGGCACCTACCACCATGCCCAGCTAATTTTTTGTATTTTTAGTAGAGATGGGGTTTCACCATCTTGGCCAGGCTGGTCTTGAACTCTTGACCTCGTGATCCACCCGCTTCGGCCTCCCAAAGTCCAAAAGTGCTAGGATTACAGGCATGAGCCACTGCTCCCGGCCTGTGTTTATTTTTTATTGTAAATTCTCAAACATACATGTAATAGCTGTTTTATTGATTTTTTTCCTATTACTTTCAAAACCTCTGGTCCCCTCTGTATCTGTTTGTATTGACTATTTTCTTTTTCTTATGGTCATATTTTTGCTTCTTCATATGTCTAGTATATTTTCTTTATAATTTATATCACACATTGTTGGGGCCATGTTGGTGAGCAGCCAGACTTATTTCCTCCTTTTAAAATGGTTGGATTTTGTTCTGACAAGTAGTTAACTTACTGGTCCAACAACTTGATCTTTTGAGGCTTGGCTTTTACTTTGTTAGAGCACTATTACTATATAACTCTGCTTCTAAGTGTGGCACTTCTAGGGTCTGAATGCCTGGGGTATTCATCAAAGATTCCTGACTCAGGTTAATCAGAACTCCACTGTTCCTCAGCACTTTGGCTTTTGGAATAGCTGTTTGGCTCACAGCCTCCAGTAGCTCTTGTCTGTCATGCCTATGGTTTCTGACTGAAATTGGCCAACAATTCAAAATTCAAAAATAATCACTATCCAAAAATTTCTCTTCAGAATTTTGGAGCTTTTTCTGTGACTGGTTCCCTCCTCTCTAATACTCTGTACATTAAATTTCAGCTGCCACAGGCCACAGGGACTCCAAACTCCAATCACTATTCTTCACTATTCTCTTTGCCCACTAAGAAACACCAGTCTCTGTTTGGGCTACAATTTTTTTTTTTTTTTTTGAGACAGAGTCCTGCTCTGTCACCCAGGCTGGAGTGCAGAGGCACGATCTTGGCTCACTGCAAGCTCCGCCTCCCAGGGTCATGCAATTCTCCTGCTTCAGCCTCCCAAGTAGCTGGGACTACAGGGGTCCGCCACGACGCCTGGCTAATTTTGTTTTTGTATTTTTAGTAAAGACAGGGTTTCACCATGTTAGCTAGGATGGTTTCGATCTCCTGAACTCGTGATCCACCCGCCTCAGCCTCCCAAAGTGCTGGGATTACAGGCGTGAGCTACCACGCCTGGCCTGAGCTACCATTTTTTTAGTGGTGGTTTGGAAGCGTCCCCAGGTAGAAAGCCAAGCTGAAGTGGAGGTCACCTAATATGTTTACCTTATTGAAAAAGAAAATACAGCCCTACGCTATATGTTATTTAATGCCTGAGAAGAGTTTTATTTTATTGATTATCCATTTTCCTAATTATTCATGGAAGAGGGGCGAGTTCGATACTCAATATTTTGTCATAAATATAACTAGCACTTTTTAAAATAGTTTTTTGTTTGAATCAGTATTTAAATCAGTTCATATGTTATGATGCATTGTCGTGTCAAGCCCCCCCCCCCCCCTTTTTTTTTTGTGGTTGTTTTTGTTGTTGAGACAGAGTCTCGCTCTGTCGCCCAGGCTGGAGTGCAGTGGCGCTATCTCGGCTCACTGCAAGTCCGCCTCCCGGGTTCATGCCCTTCTCCTGCCTCAGCCTCCCGAGTAGCTGGGACTACAGGTGCCCACCACAACGCCCGGCTAATTTGTTGTATTTTTTAGTAAAGACGGGGTTTCACTGTGTTAGCCAGGATGGTCTCGATCTTCTGACCTCATGATCTGCCTGCCTCAGCCTCCCAAAGTGCTGGGATTACAGGCATGAGCCACCACGCCCGGCTGAGCCTCTTTTAACCTGTAAATTCTGTACGTTTCTTGGCTTTTTTATTTGTTGGTTTTATTTGTTTCTTTGTATGTCCTTGAAGTTCACTGTTGATTCATATGGAGCATGGACTTAATTTAAGCTCCAAGACATTGCCATGTCCTCTGTAAGATAAGATCCCCATATTCCCTACATATTTTTCACAAAATTTTCATTATACATTTATGTATAATGAGATGTTACATTTTCTTAATAGTAAAGCAATTCCTCAAAAAAAAAGTACCATGTGATTCAGCAATTTCACTTCTGGCTATACAGCCAAAATAAGTGAAATCATGGCCTCAAATAGATGCTTATACACCTGTGTTCAGAGCAGCACTATTCTCAATAACCAAAAGGTGGAAGCAACCCCAGTGTCAATCAGCAGATGACTGGACAAGCAAAATGTGCTATATGCATATAATGCAATATTATCCAGCTTAAAAAGTGAGGAAATTCTGACACATGCTAAAATACGAATTAATCTTGAAGACATTATGCTAAATAAAAAAAAATCACAGAAAGACAAATATTATATGTTTCTACTTATATGAGGTACCTAAAGTGTACAAATTCATAGAGACAAAACAGATTGGTGGCTGCCAGGGGTTGGGAAGAGAGGAGGTTGGGGAAATAATGTTTAATGTGTACAGTTTCAGTAGGGGAAGATGGAACAGTTCTGAAGATGGATGGTGGTGATGATTACACACAGTGTGAATGTACTTAATTCCACAATGTTGCACACTTAGAAATGGATTAAAGAGCAAATTTTAAGTTATATGTATTTTACCACATAAAAAAGAGATTAAAAAATAATATAGTTCAGTAGGTTCTTGGCTAGTAAGTTAGACAAAAGATCAGAGGAATAAGACAACTTGGCAGGAACCTTATGAAAAGGATTCTGCTACTGAAATGGTTAAATTTAATAACTCTTAGGTGGTAAGAAAATGACCCTGTGTCTATGTATTAATTCTTATTACTGGTATATCCACTGGCCTCTTTCTCATTTCTCCTTGCATGTGAAAAAAGTTTTTCTAATTCATGCCCCAAATTGAACTCTTGATCTCCTTTATAAAACACCACAAAAAGCTGCTCTTGCTGCATTACATTCCGTCTCAGTGGGTGACAACTCCATCATTCTGATTGATCATGCCAAAATGTTGGAGGCATTTTCCCTTTCTCTCTCATGATATATCCAGTCGTACAAGAAAATTTACAGGTTCTATTTTCTATTATCCAGGATTAGATCACTTCTACCCTGTTCCAAAGTGACTTCCTTTCTAGGTGGCAAGCTTTTGTTTGTTTGTTTAATAGCTTTCTACCTGATTTCATTATTTTCTTCCTTGGTGAAAGGCTATTTTCCCTACATCATCCAGGGAAGTTATGTTACGTAAATCAGATCATGCTCCTTCACTACTGAAAATTCATTTGATTCCCTTTCTACTTTTAATGAAATCCAGTCATTCCTTAGTCACTCCACCCATGCCACATTGACCTCATTTTATTCAAATAAACCAAGTACCTTACCACCTTAGGGGCTTTGCACTCATTATGTCCTGTCCTATAACTGTTTGCCCTCAAATATGAGTTTCATGACTAATTTGCTTACTTTCTACTCTCTTTAGATCTTTATTCAAATTTTACCTTTTTAATTAGGTCTTCACTGAATATTTTTTATTGCGATTTCCTCCCCCTGCGTATCTATCAGCCTTCTCTGCTGTACTTTTCTTAGTAATATTTATCAGCATCTCACATACTATGTTACTTCTGTGTTTTATTTATTGGTATTCCCATATTCAATTATAAATTCGATAAGGGCAGGATTTTTTCTCTGTTTGATGTCTAAAACAATTCATAGCATGTAGTAAACCACCCAACATTTTTTAAGTTAAATGAATAATAACATACCTTTACTTTATGACTAAGGAGTATGTTAAAGGCCTAATGGGTAAAATTACTATCGTAGAAGCAAGAAATCTCACTCAAAGTCTGAAGTAATTCAATACGTTAGTCACTGGTGTCTGCTACTTGGGTATGGAAAGAAGATTAGTGTGGGTCATGTAGCACCGTCTATTGCATTTGGAATTAGCTCTGCAAGATCCCATGTAGTTGGTGTTACTTTTTTTAAAATAAATTGATGAGCACCTTAAAAAAAAAAACCTTAGATTCAGGGACTAATACTGATAATGTATGCTTTGATGACAGTATTAAAAATAAATGAGTTATCAGAGAGTGTAAGCATTTATGAAACGTTTGCTATGTATCGGATACTCTCCTGGGCCCTTTAGATATCATTTTCACATGCTATTTTATTCAGTTCTAATCAATGCACTACAAAGTGTGTATTTCTATTGGCATATTTTCAAAAGTGAAACTTGAGGATTATAGAATAAGAATCATTTGTCAAATCCCATAAAATGAGTAACTTGTAGAGTTGGCATACCTTGTGACATCTCTCCGACTGCAAATAGCTTTTTTTTTTTTTTTTAATCCTCCCAGTATCTTATAGTAGAGAACATGTGTCCCTTGGAAATTAATTAAATATTAGCAGAAATAAATGTGATCAGTTTTAAATGTAGCTTCAATTCCTAAACATCTATTTTCAGAACTCTTCTCTGTTAAACCATGGAAGGATCTATTTCCTTCTTTTCATAAGTCTTTGGTCAAGCCTTGAAAATTAAAATCGTTGTACTGATTCAACCAGTATGGTCTTTTTAAGTTTTATTGGATTTTTGTTTGTCTTTAGTTCTTTTATTTTTTGCAGTTTTAATCTGTGCACAGAGAACATCTTTCTAGCTTGTAAATACACATCAGACACACCCTGCTGTTTCCTAGAAGTCTATTCCTTGTTGCTGTTAATAGCAGAGCAGCATTTTTTTCTTAGTCACCATTTCTTCCTGCATACAGAACCATTACCCTCTGTCTACTTCTATCACCCTGAAATCTTCCATCTTACTTTTCAGATGTTTTTCACTATACCTATTTCAAGAAATCAGGTACTAAAAATAAATAATTATTCTCTGATATTCAACCTATTTTTAACACCTCAACTATTTATTTTTAATACCTGATTTCTTGAAAAAGCATATTGTTAAGGAAGTAAGGTATCTTCATTAATATACATCTTTCACAACTGAACAGGTTCATTTTTATAAACTAGCACTTGTTTTTCATTTTATACTCAAATTTATTTAGATCTGTTAATTGCGTCTGAATAGTATGTGAAAACTGTCATCATTCAGCTTGGGAAAAATATTCTCATAATGAAGTTATTTACAGCTATGTCTGTCATTAGTGTCATTAGTACCACTAATAGAAAATAAGAAAATTGGAATGGCAAAATTTAGACATATAATTGATTTCTTTCTTCTGATACGTAATTGCAAGTGCTAAAACTTCCTAGATGTTAAATTGACTGAAAAAAAAAAACATATCAAAGAAGCAGATGTATGTTGCAGGGATGGAGGGTTCACTGTATTTGATATTTATATAGCTCTGTGAGTGACTCAATTCAACTTTCCTGGCTTAGGGGAAAAGGGTTAATGTTTGGCCTGACCGGTGAGTCCCAATGATAAGAGGTCAGGAAGAACTCTTTACTGGAGTTTTAGAAGGTAATAGAATAATGAAGGATGCAGCTATGAGTCTAGCAAATTGTGAATGTAAACAGAGGGCATTTTAGGGAAATCATTTAGTGTAAGTTTTTTTACCATGGTGGATGCGATATGAAAGAATAGACACAAGACAAATTCGAATCCAAAATTTACCTTAAATATATAGCTATAACTTACATTAAAGAACCTAACAACTTAATTTTACCATTCACACATTTAATAAGTGTACATTCAGAAATGTACTCTTCAGTGAACTGTAGGAATACAAATGTGAATCAAATTAGTCAAGGATTAGGCCCTGAAAATTAAATTGTGATCACATGTTAAGTGTGCACAAATATTTAAACACAAAGTAGAAAATGATATATTTTTAAAAGAGGTCTCCCCCAAAAACAAGCAGTAAAAGAAAGGGGGTAATTTTCATCAGCTGCGGAAGCTTTAGGGAGAAGTAGCAACTAAACTGAATCTTGAACAGTTTGATAAAGGCAACTAAGTAGATGAACAGCATAAAGAATAATGAAAACAACAGATTCGTTGTTATTTTAGAACAATAATCACAGGGTCAGAGCTGTAGTCATGGAAGAATACATGACAAGGGAGAACCCTTAGGTAAAGTCACTAATGAAAATGCACAGTTTAATCCCAGACATGAGGAATGGCAAGTGTACAAGGCATATGCATTTGCAGCACAAAGAGAATCACAAAAGAAAAATGAGATTTCTGTCCCAGAGATACTTAGGTGGCAATTTCTGTGCCAGAATTACTTAGGTGATTGGAAATGTAAAGCATGAACTCAAATCTGAAGGTAACTGTCCAAGGGTCAAGAGTTACTGATTTTGCTAAGAAAACAATATAGAAAGAAAAAGAAGATTAAAGTAATTTTCTTAAGAAATACCTATATTTAAAGAATAAAAGAAATTTGAGAATGAAGAGAAATTGGAAACAATCCAGGAGAGAATAGCACCACAGAAACCTTTAAAAAGAATTTCAAATAAAAGGATTATTGATACTGTACATTAAGATTGGTTGCAGCTTACAAAAGCTACATATTCTATATATGGATTTATATGAGGCTATAGAAAAGATAAAACTACAGGGACAGGGAACACATCAGTGATTGCCAGCGACTGTGGGTGAGGGTAATTGTTGAAGACAAAGGGAAAGCATAAGGTGATTTTTGAATTGATGAAACTGTTCTTTATCAATATTGTGGGTGTGGATCATGAACCTATGCACTGTTCAAAACCCATAGAACTCATTGTTCAATTCCCACCTATGAGTGAGAACATGTGGTGTTTGGTTTTTTGTCCTTGCGATAGTTTGCTGAGAATGATGGTTTCTAGCTTCTTCCACGTCCCTACAAAGGGCATGAACTCATCATTTTTTATGGCTGCACAGGAAGGGGAACATTACACACTGGGGCCTATTGTGGGGTGGGGAGAAGGGGGAGGGATAGCATTAAGAGATATACCTAATGTTAAATGATGAGTTAATGGGTGCAGCACACCAACATGGCACATGTATACATATGTAACAAACCTGCACATTGTGCACATGTACCCTAGAACTTAAAGTATAATTTAAAAAAACCCACGGAATTGTACACAAGAAAGAGTGATTTTACCAATTGTAAATTTTTCTAAAAATTAAGTAACAGAAAAAGAGAAAAACAATAGAGTCATTGGTTTGTTGATTTAAAAATGTATATTCAGAATGTGGAAGATGAAGGGTATATGGTAAAGAAATGGAAGCCATATGCATTCTGTTTTCAAAACGTTTCCCAGTTAAGAAGAAAAAAAAAGAAGGTAGCTTCAGGACATACCTCAGTTGATTAAAGAAAGGTTATTTAAAGAGAGGAAACTTGGAGATGTCTTTTATAGAGGTTAAAAAAGAACATACATATTCAAAGGAGAGTAAATAATTAATAAAGAAAATCTTTGAGGCCATTGGAGGTAACGGAAAGAGAGAAAGAGTCTTTTTTTTTTTAATATACTTAAAAGAGGGCAAAAGGAATAGAGAATGAATATAGATAGAATCATTTTAAGGGATCATCACTTCAACATGAATCTTGTTAAAAGATTGTTCACTGGAATTTGAGATGGAACTATAGCAAAATCTTGTTTAGCCAGGTCTAAGACACCTTTCTTATTAATAGAGTCCAAATATTCAGGTTTCTTAACCTCCCAAATGCCCTGCCCTCTTATGAGTCCCAAAGTGCAAGTGTTGATTGGTCTAAACCAATGGCTCTCTGTATGGTCCGTAGACCAGCAACAGCACCATCACCTGGGAATTTGGTAAGCCCAGAGATCTGTGTTTTTAAAAAGCCTTTGATGCGATTTTGATCTACAGTAAGCTTTGAGAACTACTGGTCTAAGCCTGAAAGTATACTTCCATTTCATATCTTTGTGATTACACATGAGTATACCATTCAAACCCAGCCAAGGAAAAAAACTGGGAAGATTGCTGTTTGTTATTGGTGAACGATTTCTTTCTGAGAAGAGACACCCAGGGGCAATCAGCCTTTTCTGCTTTTGGATTGGTCATATGTGGATGAGATATTAAAATCGCAGGGCACACACACACACACACACACACACACACACACTCTTCACCTTGGGGAGGAAACATAAACATAATAGCCGATATGTTGCATATGGTGGAATGAAAACTTGGAAGGCACCTGGGTTATTGAGGACATCCTTATGTCACTAAAATTTAGTAAACTTAAAACTGTCTGTATCTGGTAAATTACTAGTAAGTTAATAAATGATCTCATTGATTAGGCCACTATTAATTGTGGCATCTTATGCTTGTAGCCACAGGCATCAAAACTGATATGAAAAATAACAAATTGGTTCTGTTACATTCTCCAGCATCTTCCTTCCTTTAAAAATATTCTAGTTAATAGGCTAGGTGCGGTGGCTCACACCTGTAATCCCAGCACTTTGGGAGGCCAAGGCGGGCGGATCACAAGGTCAGGGGATCAAGACCATCCTGGCTAACACGGTGAAACCTTGCCTCTACTAAAAATACCAAAACTTAGCTGGGCGTGGTGGCGGGCGCCTGTAGTCCCAGCTACTCGGGAGGCTGAGGCAGGAGAATCTCGTGAATCCAGAAGGCGGAGCTTGCAGTGAGTGGAGATCGCGCCCCTGCACTCCAGCCTGGGTGAAAGAGTGAGACTCCATATCAGAAAAAAAAAATTGTAGTTAATAGTATAAATTTTGTATGCCTTTATCAATAAATGTTTTAATCAACAAATATGAGCATATCAGCATCATCTTTGCCTAGACAGAAGTGCACAATCTGAAACCAGATATCAAGATATTTACCAAGTCATTATTATCAAGAGAAGTGGTGTTTTTGGCAAACTTGAGCAGCCTAATTCCACAAATACCTTACCATTAGGATTTAATTTGCCTGGAATAAAAAAGCAATATAAAAAGAAGGAAAATGAGGATGATGAAGAAAATATACTTACATTTTTATAATCCTTGAATAATGATGAATATGAATTTCATTATATAGTTATCTTTAGTTTTTGTATATTTAAATTATTTTATATTAAAAAAATACATCAAAGCAAAACAAAAAAGATTAAAAATAAAAGGATAGAAAAATACAAATGCATGAAAACAAATTTAGCTATTTTATTATAAGACAAATGTCATTTAAAGCAAAAATAAATTCAGTTACATAATAAAATAATCTTTCTTAATTTTTAAATATGTATACATATAGAAGCAATAGTTAAAACATATAGAACAAATGTTGATATGATTATAAGGAGAAATCAAGAAATTTGCATCACTGGAAGATTTTTAACATATCTCTCTTTAAAAAATGATCAAAAACACAATTAGGCTGTGATTAACTTAGCCAAAAATATTACCTCAAATAAATAGATTTGTAGAGTATAATGCAATCAATGGATAAAATAAATTCTTTTAAAATAAATATAAAAGGTTTAGAAAATTTGATGTACTAGCAAGTAAATAAAGTAGAATACCATTATGTAAATTTTAAAAATATGAAAAACAATCATATGTAATTTATACTATCATATATAAAAGTACAATATTTTGTGTGGGAATGAAATTTTAATATCTAATTTCAGAGGTGGGTTATGTTTGAAGTGCTTAAAGTGCAGAGTGATTATCCTTGGTTACACAGGGGGCCAGTGGGAAAAATAGAGGTAAAACTCACATTTGATTTCTTGGATTTTTTTTTACTATTAGTTAAACATAATTTTACTATAATGGAAATAAGGTTGTACAGTGTAATTTTATTACTTCAATATACCTACAATTATTTACAGTAAGTATAAATTTCTGTAAATGAGAATGTGACATTCTCTTTCTCCTCTGCCCCTCATTTCTTGTTCTGTCTTTCCTAACAAGAACATCATGTTAGGATTATTTTAAATTTAATGGGTCTGTATTTGTGAATTACAATGATCAAATTGTATTACAAACAGGCAGATAGTAATTCCAATTATTTGTATTTAGAGAAAACTTTTTCATGAACAGAGTTAAAATTATGAGCCAGGATTTAACTACTAATGTCTGTGAACAAGACATGTATATTGCCACACATTACCTGAAGGTATTTGTAAAGCAGTTTTATCTACTCTAAAGCAGGTGACGTATATAATGAAGCCAAGGAAATAAGGATAACATAATGTTTGTGGTTGTCAGATGATTTTTAGACTTATGAAATATCCCGAATCAAGCATTTTATATTTTTAATACATATCAGAAGAAAGTTCTTGGATTTATCTTCTGTGCTAATTTATATTAAGTCTTGCAGTATTTTATTTAGAATGATAGTGTCTGACATGAATGTCTTCAGCTTTCTAATTACTACTAATACTCTCAAAGTGAATGTAGTTAAACCCAATTATATATCTAGTTACTGAAATATCAATAATAAACCATATAATGCTTACTTATTTCCTTTGTTAACTCGTAAATTTATTTTACTAAATCTTACTCGAGGCAGCTATTAAATAGATTAATGAATAATTGTTAAAATTTAATTTTTCAAATCTAAATATTTTATCATTATAGAAATGTTCTACTTACTTTTGTCATGTGTCTACTCTGTGAAAACATTGTTCTGAACTGTATAGTAGCTAGAGAGGAGAGGGATTGAGAAATCAGTTGTAAAGATGCATAAGATAGTCTTGATGCTCTTAGGAATTTCCCGTGCCCAGGTAAGGGAGACAGGTAAATACAAGTGAAAGATGCTACAATAAAAAATATAGTAGAGAAATGGGGTTTACTTCCTGGAAGAATCAGGGAAGGATGAAGTGACATTTGTGCTGGAATCCTGACAGATGAGTGAGAACTCATCAGGAAAAAGGGAAGTGGCATATTACAGATAAGTTAAAAAATAGACAAAAGTTTTAGAAAACTTAATCTCATATGAGTTAACATGCCTAGAAATTTAAATGGATATAATACTTTCATAGTAATGAATTTTTAACTATCTGCACATATTTTCATAGAGTTCACTGATTTTATTAAATGACAGTACACTCATATGATGTGGATAAATACAAATATATGACCATATAATTTTAATATCCAAGATGTTGCCAACCCTAAAGAATGATGGGAGTGAGGATGCAGAATTCCCTCAGCTTAGAATCTCTCATCTTTATATTCTCTACCTGTTCTATCATCCTGATTTAGGCAGTCCTTGGAACTATAGTCTCTATTCAACACATTTTTGAAAATGCTAATCTATTTTCAAAACAGTCCAACCCCTTCAGTAAAGTGAGTATGATTTTGTACAATATGCCACAAAATTTTAAGAAAATTTGAATCACATTTTCTTTACTCTCAGTTTAACGTTACTTTCAGTGCTTCTTGCTGCATCATTGGTATCTTATAATTAGAACTAAATAGGTATGAAAAAAATCAATTTACATTCTGGAGAAAAAAGAAGCTGAATGACTCTCTCTGTAAAGTTTTCCTTTCATCTTGATGAAGTCCCTTCATTCATTGCTTAAAGATTAACAGTAAGATTAACATTGTAACCCATTTAGTTAGCTGGAGGGAATTTCATTCCTGCTTAAATTCAAGCATTTAAAGCCTCAAACTACTTAAAATTAAATTGGCCCCATAGAGAAAGCACATCACCATGAGTATTACTTAAAGATGGTATCAACCTTCAGGAATATATCTTAATTGGTAATGACAAAAAATAAATAATAATAAAATTTTAAATGCTATTTCTGTTATGTGGGAATTTTCTAGTTTTTTGGATGTTACAATTAAATATCCTTGCTTAGTAGACATTTTTATATATCTCCAATGTTATCAAATGTCAGGTCTATCATGTATCAAAAGCAATCTCTTGGGTTGTGTTGCCTTGACAACAAATCTTGGTTTCGTTGTTCTTGTTAAGTTGAATTCTTGGATTCTGAGAATTTAATAAAACGCTTGCTGGATTCAAATCAGTGACCTTTCTCAGAGCTGTAAAAACAACTGATCATTCACTAAACCATTCATCAAGTTAAGATAAATATACCTGTTAATATTTGTGTTCCTACTCAGTTTGGATACAAGTCAAAATAATTTGATAATATTATTTTTATTCTTTAAAATTATTTTATAAGAATTAGTAATTTATTTAAAAAATTAGCAATGTTATTTCTAAGGGATACTAATTGTGATATGAAAGACAAGTCCTCTTGTCAAAGCATTTTGTATTCAGAAATGAGTAAACTACTTTAAATTAAAAAGTAGATCACAGGTTTAATATCTAGAGTTTTTCAAAAAATATGTGTTTCAGCAATTTTATAAAGTTTGAACCTGTTAAGCTAGGTTTTAAATTATTTGAATGTTTTTTGAAATTTCCTTCTCTGTCTTGTCATTATAAGTTAGATTTTGTTCCACTTTTATTTATTTCATGTAAGGCTGATATCTCACAAACTTCAAATAAGTCATAAATTAACTACAGCATCATTTGCAAATCTTCCATTTTCTGGAGTTACCATGCCTTTTGAGATTTAAGCAAAATTGAACCAAACATTCATTGATTTTTCACAAGATACGGATTTTTTTGATTTTTTTTTTTTTTCAGGAAAGAGGCCCGTGTACTTGCAATTGCTCTTCTAGTCATTTCTTGTGCAAACCTGCTCTTTTTGAAGCACACCAACTCAATGAAGATACTGTTGACTATAATTCTTACCAGAAATATATATACACAGATAACCTGTATATATATGTAGATATATAGATTGGAAATATTGAAGATTTGATTCCATACCACCACAATAAAGTAACTATTGCAATAAAGCAATTCACACACTGTTTTTAGCTTCCAAGTGAAAATAACACTTATGTTTATGTGATACTGTAGTCTATTAAGTGTGCACTAGCATTGTGTCCAAATAAAATGTAGATATATTATTTAAAAATACCTTATTGGGGCCGGGCATGGTGGCTCAAGCCTGTAATCCCAGCACTTGGGGAGGCCGAGGTGGGCGGATCATGAGGTGAGGAGATCGAGACCATCCTGGCTAACACGGTGAAACCCCATCTCTACTAAAAATACAAAAAATTAGCTGGGCGTTGTGGCCCGCGCCTATAATCGCAGCTACTCAGGAGGCTGAGGCAGAAGAATCACTTGAACCCAGGAGGCGGAGCTTGCAGTGAGCCAAGATTGCACCACTGCACTCCAGCCTGGGCGACAAAGCAAGACTCCCTCTCAAAAAAATAAAACCTTTTTGCTAAAAAAAGGCTAATGATCATGTGAACTTTCAGTAAGTCAGAATCTTTTTGCTGATGGAGGGTCATGCCTCGATGTTGATGGCTGCTGACTGATCACAGTGGTGGTTGCTGAAGGTTGGGGATGCTGTGGCCATTTTTAAAAATGAGATAGCCATGATGTTTGCCACATTGGTTGACCCTTCTTCTTCTTTTTTTTTTTTTTTTTTTTTTTTTTTTTGGGATGGAGTTTCGCTCTCGTTGCCCAGGCTGGAGCACAGTGGTGCCATGTTGGCTCACTGCAACCTCCACCTCCTGGGTTCAAGCGCTTCTCCTGCCTCAGCCTCCTGAGTAGCTGAGATGACAGGTGCCTGCCACCACGCCCAGCTAATTTTGATTTTTTTAGTAGTAACAGGGTTTCACTATTTTGGCCAGGCTGGTCTCGAACTCCCGACCTCAGGTGATCTGCCCTCCTCAACCTCCCAAAGTGCTGGGATTACAGGTGTGAGCCACCACGCCCGGCCAACTCTTCTTTCACAAAAGATTTCTCTGTAGCGTATAATGCTGTCTGATGGAACTTTACCCACAGTAAACCTTTCAAAATTACAGTCCTTAAACTCTGCAGCTGCTGTATCAACTACATTTATGGAATATTCTAAATTCTTTGTTGTCATTTAAACAGTATTCCCAACATCTTTACCAAAAATAGATTCCACATCAAGAAACCATTGTTTCCTTTTTTTGTCACTGAATGTAGTGGCAAAAATCACAATTCTGCACCAACCTACTCAGTCACATCTTTAGGGTTCACTTCTAATTTTACTTCTCTTGCTGTTTCCACCACATCTGCAGTTACTTCCTACACTGAAGTCTTAAGCCTCCCAAAGTCATCCATGTGGATTGGAATAAACTTCCTCCAAACTTCTTTTAATGTTGATATTTTGACCTCTTCCCATGAACTGTTAACGTTCTTAATGGTATCTAGAATGGTGAAATCTTTCTAGAAGGTTTCCAGTGTATTTTGCCAAGGTCTATCAAAGAAATCACCATTTATGGCAGTTATAGCCTTACAAAGTGTATTTATTACATAATAAGACTTGAAAGTTGAAATTACTCTTTTGATTCATGGGCTGCAGAATGGGTGTTGTGTTAAAAAGTACACAAACAAGGAGATTTACAAATCTTGTACGTCTCTATAAGAGTTCTAGGGTGATCAAGACCAGTATCAATGAGCACTAATATTTTGTTGTATGAGCACTACATCTCAACAGTGGGCCTAAAATATTTAATAAACCATTGGTGAAAATAGATGTGCTGTCATCCAGGCTTTGTTCCATTTATAGGCAAAATAGATTTAGCATAATTCTTAAGAGCTAGGATTTTCAAAATGGTAAATGAGCTTTGACACCAACTTAAATTTATGTTTCCCCCTAAAAAGGAAGTGAGCCTGTCCTTTGAAGCCAGGCACTGACTTCTCCTCTCTAGCTATGGAAGTCCTAGATGGCGTCTTCTTCCAATATAAGGCTGTTTTATCTACATTTAGAATCTGTTATTTAATGTAGCCACCTTCATCTATGATCTTAGCTAGCTCTTCTAAATCAGGGGTCCCCAACCACGGGGCCAGTTAGGAACTCGACCACACAGCAGAAGGTGACTTGCGAGCAAGCATTACCATCTGAGCCCAGCCTCCTGTCACATCAGCAGCGTCATTAGATTCTCATAAAAGTTTGAATCCTGTTGTGTGAACTGCACATGCAAAGGAGCTAGGTTAAGCACTCCTTATGAGAATCCAACTAATTCATGATGATCAGAGGTAAAACAGTTTCATTTCGAAACCACCCCCACCCCCATCTTTAGAAACATTGTCTTCCAGGAAACCAGTCCCTGGTGCCAAAAATATTGGGGGTGGTTGTTCTATACAGATAACTTGCTGCAGCTTCTACAGGAGCATGTGCTGTTTCACCTTGTACCTTCATTTTATGGAGATAGCTTCTTTGGCTAAACTTCATGAACCAACCTCTGTTAGCTTCCAACTTTTCTTCTGTAGCTTCCTTACCTCACTCAGCCTTCACGTAATTGAAGAGAGTTAGGGCCTTACTCTGGATTAGGCTTTGGCTTAAGGGACTGTTGTAACTGGTTTGATCTTCAGTGATGTTCCAGATCACTGAAACTTTCTCTACATCAGCCATAAGGCCCTTTTACTTTCTTACTATTCATATGTTTACTGGAGTCACCCTTAAAAAAATTTTTTTAAGCTTTTCCTTTGCATTCACAGCATGCTTAATGGGCACCTGAGGCCTAGTTTTGGCCTCTCTCTGATTTCAACATGACTTCCTTTCTAAGCTCAATCATTTCTAGCTTTCAACTGAAAGTTTAAAAAAAAAAAAGAAAAAAAGTATATGACTCTTCAGTTGAACACTTAGAGGCCGTTGTAGGCTTATCAATTGGCCTAGTTTCCATACTGTTGTGTCCTAAGTGATAGAGAAGTCTGAGGAGAGGGAGAGAGACATGGGAACAGTTGGTAAGTGGAGCTGTCAGGACACAAACAACATTTATTGTCTAAGTTTGCTGTCTTATATGAGTGTCGTCCAAGTTGCCCTAAAACAATTACAGTAGTAACATCAAGATCACTGAACACAGATCACCATAACAGATATAAAGCAGTAAAAATTTGGAAATATCTCAAGAGTTACCAAAATGTGACACAGTCATGAAGTGATCACACACTGTTGGAAAAATGGTGCCAATAGATTTGCTTGACGCAGGGTTGCCACCACATTTAGTTTGCAAAAAACAATATCCGTGGCATGCAATAAAGCAAAGTGCAATCAAACAAATTATACCTGTATATAAAAATTCAGTGATCTATATCCTGAAAACTGAGGCACTTTACTGTATTAAGCTATACACCCCATGAGAAATTCAATAAAAATGAATTTATATTTCTTAGTACCCTCATTTTAACATGTTCTTAACTGGCTTTATTCAATTAAAAAAAAAACCAACCAAAAACCTTAGTTTGTTGATTTAGTCATATTCTTCCAAATCATGGAGCTAATACATAGCTTATTTTTATTTTTATTGTGTTTTCAGCCTTGTCTGGAAACAAAAATAGTTGGAAGGAGAGTTAGTTTAGAATGATGAAAAGAGAGCAAAATACATTCCAAAAATTTTCAAATAATTTCCAAATCATTGGACTCTAAATTATCACCTGGCCTTATTCTCTTCTGCCTGAAGGAACTAGTCTTCATTATTTCTTCCCATTAGGGTGGAGATAATTAGTGTCAGCAAAGTGAACTATCAACCATATCCCCTCCTTATTCTTCTAAGGTCTGATTAATTGGTACTGAGAAGAAATGATATTTTACTTAAAGTTTTTACAGGATATTTTTATTTTATATTTTATATCGTATCCAAAAATTATGGTACTTTGCTGAACCTTTTCATACATTTCTTTATATGTAACTTTGCAGGCTTTTGCTACTTTATTATGAAGAGACTCCAGAGGAAACAAATAACACAAGCAGATAATCAATGAGAATTGAATGAAGGGACTGTTTACACATTAGTGGGCAAGGGGAACCTTAGGGCCAGCACAGTGGGAGACTTGACTGTCCCTAAACTTAAGGAGCAAAAGCCATGGGATGGAATCTGAAGGGAGCGATGGCATTGGTCAGATGTATGCAAGCAGAGCTAAGTGGTTTTGCTCATTGTGCGGTATCCAGTAATCACTGATACTCTCTTTGCCCTGTATCAATATATTTCAAAGAGGATACACTGACATATTAAAGTAAATGTAATATTTCAAAATCTCTGGGCTGGGGCCCAAAATCTTACTTTAATAATCCACATAAATGTGTTTTGCAGAACAAGACCATGTTTGGAAAACGGCAGTCATCCTGGGAAACTTTTTATTCTAAGCTGTTTTTGGTTCCCATCATCACACATACCAATGCCAGAGTCATTATTGCTATAAAAGTATCACTTTCCAAGGTTCCTGAGTTTACCACCCTCATGTACTTATAGGGTTTTTATAACCATTATATTTTGAGGCAAATAGTATTTGTTCCTCAACAAACACATTTATTATATAGAATTTTATGGAAATACTGATTCTCTGTTTTAATAGTTTAAAATCTTTTGTGAGATGGGAAAAGAACTGTTGCTTCATTTTATTATAATGAAAATAACTTAGAGACAAAAAGCCACCCAAAATTTCTTTTAACTTGTAAATACTGGTTACTATTCCAATTTTAATATATTAGAGCCCCCTACCAACATTTTTGAAGCAAAATTAAGCTATTGAAATTAAGATTCCTGTTTCTCCCAGTGAAGTTAAAAACTAACAACATGTAAGAAACAAATTAGACAAATGAGTTTCAAGGATTTGAGTGTAAGGAATGACTTCTGTTTAAGTTCTATTTTGTTGGGCTTTGGAATATTTCTGCTACAAGTACTACACTGTAGCACCTTGTCATTTTAATATATGTCTTACTTTGTTATCAAAAAATTAGGCATTATAAAATATATTTTATCTTTTATATAGTCCATTTCACAGAATAGCCATAATGTTCTTTCAAGTAAGGATTATGGGAAATTAAATGCTCTTATGTTTAAAATAGATATTTATATCCTCTGTATCATTTATTAACTTATCAGAATCACTTTGCACTTTAAGATCCATCTAAGTATACTTAATAATATAGCTTTTTCCATGCTTTTTTAAAGCCTTAGTCAAAATATAGTAACTTAGATTTTTTAATATGTTACTACAGTTTTAAACCAGTATTGGGAATGCTTTGATATTGTAATGTTTACAGTATATTTGGGGTAAAGTGGTGAGAGAAATTGGAAGATGGAATTTTGGTATTTTAGAACTAGACTGTGTGGCCAAGCATATAGAAATGCAGAATGTTGCCAGACACAGTGGCTCACACCTGTAATCCCAGCACTTTGGGAGGCAGAGGTGGGTGAATCACTTGAGGTCAGGAGTTCCAGACCAGCCTGGCCAACATGGCGAAACCCCATCTCTACTAAAAATACAAAAATTAGCCAGGCATGGTGGTGCATGCCTGTAATCCTAGCTACTCGGGAGGCTGGGGCAAGAGAATATCTTGAGTCCTGGGGGCAGAGGTGGCAGTGAGCTGAGATCATGCCATTGTATTCCAGCCTGGGCGATAGAGCGAAACTGTCTCAAAAAAAAAAAAAGAAAAGAAAAGAAAGAAATGCAGAATGTGGTGTAGAAATATATACAATATATTATATTTAAAAATCTATAGTAATGCAGTTCCTTCTTTTTCTAAATTTAAATCTTTCCCCCTTTATGCTTATATAATTTTTAATAGACTTCAAAATGGAAACAACGTTCTAGTAATCTCAAATGTGAATGTAGAGAATTTCATCCAGTGACCTTTCCTGATTTATATTTCTGTCGTTCTTGATTTTATAAATCAACTTGAAAATAAAATTTATAAAATTTCTTAACTGTTACCCCGAATCTTAGAACTGTAGTGATTTCTAAATTAAAAATCCTGTAGACATAAATATTCTCATGCACTCTATATATACATTTCATTTGTGCAGTTTTGCATCTGTTTTTCCAGTTTTCCACTTTGTTGGGAAATGGTTTACATACTAAAAATAATGTTTGAACAAAAATATTTTCTCACGTAATAACTTGTTACTGCTTTGCAGTTTGTCACAAATTTTACCATTCACTCATTTAATCTTTAACACAGTACTGTGAGATGAACAGGAAATGACTATATTCCCATCTTAAGTTAGAGAATACTGAGACTCACAGACATTTAGGGACTGAAGTTACAAATTGAGTGGAATTACATCTAAAACTCAGGATTTATAGCCGGGCCCTGCTGGACCCTAACAGACTCACAAGAAGAGAGAAAATGGTGCTTAACATATTTTTCAAATCAATTTCATGGAACTTAAATTATAGTTATTAAATGCTTACTATGTTAAAATACTCTGTTAAGTAAAGCAGTTATATAGGATAGATTAAAATGTATGAGAAGATAAGAAAATATATGATATTACACGTTATAAGGACATTGCTAACCTGTGTGAAAATATTTTTTTAACAGAGAGTTGTGATAATAACCAGAATTTAGGGGTTAAGAAATAAGGGAGAGGTAAGGCCTTTGAAGCAGCAGATGTGGACTATCCTTTTGACAGATTGAGGATTTGTGTGGGGAGGAGATAGTGAAGGGGATGAAAGAATACAAGCATACAAAACAGCAACATACAAATGTGCTATCTTAAAACTCGAAAAGTGTAAAATGCTAAGCTGGACAAAGCTAGACTGAAGAAGAAAGGCCACTTTGCATTTATTATCGGATTGGGAAAGGAGCAGGAAGCACCTGGTTGGAATCCTTGTGCTTGTGAAAATGGCCTTGTTAGAAAAGGGACATGACAAGAGGAAATTAGGAAAGAAGGTAAAGGAACACTGCAGCTCTTCCAGGGAGCTAATTGAGGTCTCCTGAGCCTGCTCCCTACCAAGCTCCAAAAGGAAGATGGGAGAAAGCCACCTAGAGCCACATCCACCAGAACTATCTGGAAGACTAAAGTTTTGTCCTTCCATCTGTGTTCAGCGCTACAGGGCTAAACAATTAGCAGAACTGAGACTGGACCCTGGTGGGCTGCCTCTCCAGTCTGTGTCCTCAACCCTATAATTTTCATTTCTGTTGAGATCACATATATTCAGATTATAAGTGGAGTATTACTTTTGTAAATTTTTTGAAGGGTGGTTTGATAATTAGTTTCATTATTTTCAATTTTGCTCTGTGTATGTCTTATTAATCTGACTTTTTCTCATAAATGTAAACATAAGCACAAGTTGACATCTTGCTTTGGAACTGGTACAGTCCTGTTCATAAATTCAAATAGTTACCAAAATATGTGAAACTTGTGCATATCTTATTTTAATTGGCTACTTTCTTAATTCAGAAGTGAGGTTCCTCAGATGTATTTCAGTGATGCTGGAATTTCCAGCAAAGTCTCTCACGTCTGTCAAACATTCAGTAAATCACCTAATGTTTATAATTTACCAAATAATCAGACCTAATGCTTAATATAGCTGACTAAATGCTTTGATACTCTGCATTCTAGTCATTTTATCAGATTTCATTTTGTTTTGTTTTTTGGGATGGAGTCTCACTCTGTCACCCAGGCTGGAGTGCAGTGGTGCAATCTCGGCTCACTGCAACCCCTACTTCCCGGACTCAAGTGATCCTCCCACCTTAGCCTTCCTAGTAGCTGGGAATACAGGTGCACACTACCACACCTAGCTAATTTTTATATTTTTGTAGAGACAGGGTTTCACTATATTGCCCCGTCTGGTCTCGAACTCCTGGGCTTAAGCGACACACCTGCCTCAGCCTCCCAAAGTGCTTGGATTACAGGTGTAAGCCACCGTGCCTGGCCAGATATTTTAAATTTTAAAATTTAAAAATAAGATTTAGAGAACTCATTTAATTTTAGTTTTTTTTATATCTCCTCTTTTTATTCTTCTTATTCTTTCTTATTGCAGTAAAATAGAAACACAACAAAAGGAATACAATGATACCGTAAACCGTAAGAAAACTATTCATTCCTTACCAGAATGAAAATGAAAGAAATTCATATTTTATCTGAATAATTTTTACAATGCTTGCAAATTTACCAGAACAACTGTAAAGAGTTCCAAAATTTAACTTAACTCAATGAACTAGTTATGGGAGATTTAGTGTGTGATAATGTGAAAAAAAAATAAAAGATAAAGTAGCATCTGAGGAACAAATGCTAATATCTTAGATTTGGATAGCATACTGCCATTGTCTATACTGTATCTATTACTTTTTGTTTTGTAATCTCCTCTTTTCCTATGTTCATTGGAAATGACCAGTGCCACTAGCTTACTTTTCTTTCACGTAAAATATTACATTAGGGGAACTGGCTTGCTATTATCCTGCCATTTACCCAGAAGGACAGATGTCTCAAATAGTTCGTGAATTAAAAAAATACGAATCAAAAAAATCTGAAATCATACCCTGTAAGTTTGATAAGCCTTACTTTTCAGATGATTTAGTGTACGATATATTAAACAATTTATTTTTTATTTGAAATCTATATCTTGCACAGATAAAAATTCAGACATGATGGGGCAGGTCCTAGCCTAAATGAAATACATATGCTTCACTAAATAATACTGTTTTTGTTATTAGTTCTAAGACTTGTTAGTTAATTTATAGTATATGTTCAGGAAAAAGTACATAAAATTTAACATAGATTTTAAAGTGGATTTCTTTCCGTCTTTTAAAGAAATCAATTTTCCTTTTCTTCTCTTGATATAAACCCCATTACAGTCTAAGATAAGGACACCAGATACTGCCCTAGTTTCAACTTATTTCAGAGCCTTGGAGCATAATATGGGGAATAATAAGACACAGAGCATTATTTGTGCTTTCTAATCTGTTCAGACTATTTTAAATAAGCATAAATCAGATATTCACATGTTAATATGTTGAAGGGTAAAACGCGAATATATATCATTGCTTAAATAGGCTTAATGCTGTATACATAAATTTTCATCAAATCTTGCTCCCAAATATTTCTATTTTAATTTTGACAGGAGTTAATTTTCCTTTTATTTGTTAACTCCCAGATAATTTACTGTAATTACATATAATTGACTTAGTAAATATATAGTTGCCTGAGTTTTTGAAGAAAGACAAAAATCTTTTATCCCAACCAAACTATATTCATGCTAAAGTCACCCAAATTTGAGCCAGAATCGTATATCCATATTGCTGTGAACAACCGCAGAACACTAATTACAATAAATCTAATCTACCCATTTGCAATGACACTTTAGATTAGAAAGGCTGTAGAGAGGGGTATGATTTAAGAGTGAAAAAATATTTCCAAAATTAAGTAAGAGTTTAGACCTGTAATTGAAAGAGACATTAATGTGTGTGTCATAATAGATGATAGGATATTCTACTACTGTGAAGCTGAGCCTCTTGTTACCTTGCAGCAGGGTACAACAATAAAAAATCTTTGATTTTATTTGACATTCTTCTAATAGACTCCACACTTCTAAACATGAACAAGGAATTTCATATAGCTGATTCAGCAGCACATGGAATATTCATTTTCTCTAAAGCCTTGTACCTTTCTCTCAATGACCCTTGTGAAATGAATTTTAGTGTTTGTGTGCACTTCCTACATTTGAACGCTTACAGTGGCATGAGCCTTAAATGAGCAAGCTTTTAAATATTTGTTTATAACACATATATCCTCCTTGCCAGTTTATTTTCAGCTTTGTCTTCCACTGAACTTTACTTTTCCTGTTTCTGATCCTGGCTGCTTATATCTTGGCTAAGAGTAAATGTCTTGTTGTCTTAATGACCATGGAAGGCTTTTTGGAGTAGGTGGAGTTTGCAAAACCCCTTACATAACAGAGGAAATGAAGCGGAGGCTGTTCCTGATGATACCTTCATACAAGCAAAAGTCCAATGTACAAAAGTACAAGGGGTTAACACTAAACACCTAACACATTTATTCAAGCTAAGGGTTTGAGTAGAAAATTGAGTAGGGTTATAACAAGAATTGGTTTTGATTCTTAATTGCAAAAGACTCTGCACAGCAAACTATGTAGTTTGAATTTTACCCTTTAGGGGCCAGGGAAAATTAAGAAGAGATAACTGGCATGACCAAAGCAACAGGGTCCAAATACTAACTGGGAGTCTTTTGTAGTAATATCAGCCTATGTTGTGGTAGTGCCCGTGAGATAAAGGGATATATGTGAGCTTTTTTGACAGAAAAGTCAATACAAATAGCCATAGGTAAGGATAGTCTTACAATTTGGAAAGGCAAAAAAATAGAAAAAAAGACTAAGTAAAATAATGCGAATTGTGAGTATAGGTATCTGGGAAACAGCACACTCTTAATTGATATAGAGAAGTCAGAGACAGGTTGGGTTGAAGGATGATGAGGTCAGGTTGCACCATTTGAAACAAAACCATCAATGGAGTGTATCAGGAAGAAATTAAAATATAAACTGAGATAGCATGAGAGAAGTCTAAGGTGAAAAAATATTGGAAAAATTAAAACAGAGGTAGGTAGTTGAGTCTTTTTTTGTTGTTTGCCATTTTAATTTTTGATAAGGAGTTGTACAACATCAATTAAATACATCAACTCATTCTGAAAAAAGTTACTGTGTAAAGAAATGCATAGTAACAAACCTCAGCTTCCTGAAGTTGGAGCTATTGTGCACGACAGAGATAACAACTGTGTGACTTTGCTTAGTTTGGTTGTCTTTCTGTCTAAATGCTGCCTAAGATCCTTGGCTTGGCATATGTGACAAGCAGAGTAACGAGTGCCATAATAAATGAAATTAATGTTCTGATTTCAGCAATGGTTTAGGTTCTGTTCATAATCACATATTATCATTTTCACAGAAATGGTAAAGAAGTAAAGTCCACTAAAGCAGCTCTCTTGATCTGAATGGAAAACTTATTTGTTGTAAAAGTGTTTATAATCTCTCTCTCTTTCTGTCTGCCCTACCTAAAATGGGGGTAATGATGTTACCTGTTTCAGTCACTGACATGTCACTATTAATAACCCACTAGAAAATAAGAAAAAAATTAATAAAAATAGTAAATAAACTACTGGATTATAATATAGCTGGAGGGTCATATTATGACTTAACTGTATATAATATATGCTCTTTATGGATTTCTAATCTAATTTTTATACTTTTAGAAATGTCCATCTTATTTTAGTATTTCTGATATAGAAGCTGATCTTGCCTTTAAAAAAAAAAGAATGGAAAAGTAGAAATACAAAGAAGCTTCTTTGAAATAATTCATAAATATATTATTTTAAAAATAAGACAATTGCCTATTTTAAAATGTCTCTGAAGTGGCAAGTGAAAATGTAGAAATTGCTAAAATATGATTAAAAAGAGAAGTGTTTCTTATATTCATCATAAGCCATGTGTATCTATTAAAAGACAAAAAGTGAATATTGTCCCGACGCAAAATTGCATTAACAAAAACTACGTACAGAATATAGAAAAACTTAATATCATAAAATTGCTCATTCAGTACTGACAACACATATTTTGTGGTTCATTCGGACCCTGATATTTTTTTCTTCTCAACCAGTTGTTTTCTTATTTTGCACAACTGAAATTCACTATTTTTCTTTTCTATTACTGTTTTATTATAGCCTCAAAGCACTTTATAAATAAGAAAAAAAACAGTAATTTCATGGTTATTAGACATTCCAAAATGTTCTATCTAAAAAATAGTTATCAGCTACATTAATACTGCCAAACTGTTGAAACCAATTTCTGTGTATTCTTTGCTCTAAGTTATTTAGCTTGAAGGATGTTGGGTGAGTTGCTGGATCAGACTGGCCAGTTGGATTCATTTCTCACTGGGAAAGGAAATAAACTGATAATGCTATAATGATATTAATTTTAAATATTCCAGTACATTTCCCTAGTGAGTGCAAAAGGGCAGTTAAAAGCTCAATTTTGAGGACAGATAGGCCTATTAGTCTTGCATCTGCCATTTAAATAGCTGAATGATGTTTGGCATGCCTGTTGTAACCTCTCTAAGTCTCTACTGCTCAGATGTGATTAAATGAGGTACATTTGAAAAATAGGACAGAGTAATGATCATTAAATGGCAGATATTTCTCAAAGGGAGGCTTTATCACTGACCACAATTTTTTACTATAGAGTTAGATGCTTTCATTAGTAAACTTCTCTTGTTTTGAAAATAATTTTCGTTGCTGTTGTATAGCTGAATAACATGAGCACAAAATCAAGCACAATTTTTATCTATTTTATCTGTAGAAGCATGCATGGCTAAGAAACCTCTACTCATCTTTATATATGTTTTATAAGACAATGACTTCTGTCTTCAGTGTTCTCTTTCTTCTGTAAGTCCTGGAAGACCCTCATTATTATATTGCCATATTATCTTCTCAGATTTATAAAATTCTGTTATTTTTGGATTAATAAAAGCCCTTTTAGATCTGATTTACAAAAATCTGTGTTATATGAATACACACATGATTTTGTTAAGTATACTTGTAAATATAATCAAACACAATGTAAATGTATCTATTAAAATATAGATGTCTTTAATGTGTACTTTAAGATAAAGCAAAATTACTTAATTTTTCAACAAGTTTTCTGTTGGTAATAAGCCAGGACCTGAGGTTTTTGGTGACTATCAGGTCTTTTAGTGTAAAAAATAATACATGGAAAAAAATACTTGAAGCATCCACAAATCGAAACTCAGCTGGGTTAGGAGTTTTCCTCTCAACAGACAAGTCTTGGGAAAGTGGTCTGTCTCAGGAAATATTCTGGTCTGTTATTTTCTCACAATTTTTATACACTCTCCTTTGATAACGATATATTGAAGCAACCCAATGTATGCATTCATAGGTCTCTCCTTGTCATTTGGCTAGGTCATAGGTTGAGAAACATTGGTATCATTGATTGCTCACAATTCTCATCTTTAACCATGCTGAAACTTCTACTACCAGACACCTAAAATATCTCATATATTCTAAGACTATCCTAGGGGTACAATGGACACAAGAGATTTGTCTTGAGAAGATTGCCTAAATCATAGGGGGAAATGTGCATAGTAGGCATTTTAAAACCTAATTCTCCTTTCCCTTAGTTTTTCCGTTAATTTATTTCCACTTGTTCACTTATTCATTAATTTACTCAAAATGAGTAAGCACCTACTAGGTACAAATATGGAAGTCTAGACCAGGGAAGACACGGGTTTAAGGAATATTTTATGGATGCGGATGAGGCATCATTTGAATTTCATAGTATAGTTAACAAAAACATACATTTCAGGCTGGGCGCGGTGGCTCACGCCTGTAATCCCAGCACTTTGGGAGACCGAGGTGGGTGAATCACGAGGTCAGGAGATGGAGACCATCCTTGTTAACACAGTGAAACCCCGTCTCTGCTACAAATACAAAAAATTAGCCGGGCGAGGTGGCAGGCGCCTGTAGTCCCAGCTACGCGGGAGGCTGAGAGGCAGGAGAATGGCGTGAACCCGGGAGGTGGAGCTTGCAGTGAGCAGAGACTGTGCCACTGCACTCCAGCCTGGGCGACAGAGCGAGACTCCATCTCAAAAAAAAAAAAAAAAAGACACATACATTACAGATAGAAGGGTTGAACAAAATAAAATCAGTAGTGAGCAACCTTACTGTGTGTAAATGCTTTAACATTTACCAGATTTAACCTTGGGGAGGTGAATTAACCTTCCTTATCGTAGACTTTCTCATCTATGAAATGAAGATAATCTCATAGGGTTGTTGTGAGAATTAAATGAGATAATTCGTAGTACTTTTTAGCTTTGTGTCTAATGCATAATAAAAACCTAATATTTTTTAGCCCTTAAATCGTTCCTAGAACTCTACTAACCCTTGGTATGATTATCCAAGCACTTTCACTCCAAAGTTTTCAATTTTAATCACTGCAAATATGTTAACTTGTATTGTGTATACAAGTGACATGTTTAAGCAAAATGATGCTAATATAATAAAAATTTTAAAATGAGACAAAGTACTCATAGTGTTAAGCTCTCCAATATTGTGTTTGTATTGGCAATGGTTAGAAATGAATTATAGACCACAGGAAAATCTAGGTAACTCAAAGCAGTTGAATAATTCAAATGTTTAGCCACGATGATAAGGAAGAACTTTTATTTGTTTTAAAAGTGTTCTATCTACGATGTGTGATGTTAACATTTCCACCGACAAATGAAACAAGTTTGTCAATAAATATATTAGGAAATACCATATAAAGAATAAAAAAAGCCCTCTTTAATAAAGCCAGGACATATTTTCTTGCCTCAATTATATAGCACTATCAAATCAAAAATTAGACTTTTGGCATATGATTTCTGACAATTCCATGTTTCCTCCTAGGTAACACTGCAATATTGTTAATCTACATGGAAACCCTGCATTAAAATTTTTGGTTAGGGCGACCTCGGGGCATAATCTAACCTCTGAGCAACCTATGCTAAGACTAAACCAGTTTAAGCAAATTATTATACATATACTGACCCAATAATTTGATCAACAGAATAAGTTACCCTAGGATAACAGCGCAATCCTATTCTAGAGTCCATATTGACAATAGGGTTTACAACCTCGATGTTGGATCAGGACATCCTAATGGTGTAGCTGCTATCAAGGGTTTGTTTGTTCAATGATTAAAGTCCTACATGATCTGAGTTCAGACCGGAGCAATCCAGGTCAGTTTCTATCTATTTTATTTTTCTCCCAGTATGAAAGGACGAGAGAAACAGGGCCCACTTCATAAAGCGCCCTCGCCCTATAGATGATATTATCTTAAGCTAACAAATCACCTCATATCTTACCCAAAAGTAGGGTTTGTTAAGGTGGCAGAAGCCCGGTAATTGCATAAAATGTAAAACTTTATAATCAGAGGTTCAATGAATCTTCTTAACAACATGCCTATAATCAACCTCCTACTACTTATATCTACTCTGGCTGCCGTAACATTCCCTACACTCATTGAATGAAAAATTCTAGGCTACATACAACTATGCAAAGGATCCAATATTTTAGGCCCCTATGGACTATTTCAACCATTTGCTGATGCAATAAAACTTTTCACTAAAGAGACCCTAAAACCCTCATCATCTACTGTTACCCTTTACACTATTGCTCCAACCCTAGCCCTTTCTATTGCCCTTTTCTTATGAACCCCACTGCCTAAACCAAATCCCTTAATTTTAATTTCAGCCTCCTATTTATTCATAGTATACTATACTATTATATAGTTTAGCATTATTATATATTAATATTATTGTATAATGGTATACAATAATATTCACAGTATACTGTGAATTTATTTTTTTAATGTATCACCATAATACCTTTTTGGGTATTATAGGTAGGTCACTAGCTTGTAATTCCCAAGTACTTTTTTATGTGCCTTCTACAAATTGGTAAGAAGGAGTCTTTTCTAGTCATCTAAAATTCAAGTACTCTCCCATAAGTGCTTATCTATAAAATAGTAATGGCTGTGAAAGTTCATCTCCCAGTTCTTTAGCACTCTCAGGTGGATGGTTTTTCAACTGACCTACAACCATTAAGCTTGCTTAAGTAGTCCCCAACTATTTGGTCTCTGTTTGAATTGCCATGGCTGTGCATTCACCAGTTTGAAAAAATTACCATATATGAATAGAATTAAGCTTAGCAAGGAAGACTGCCTTGTAGAACAATCAAGGTGGAAATAACTATTTTATATATGAAAGTTCAATGACAAATGATACATAGAAGAAAAACATGGTAATAAATAAATGTAATCTGAATACGAGAAAGACATATATCTATTTTGTGCTTAACAGTGCCTGTGACAATGACATGGAGCCTGCCCCTGCAAATCAAGGCCCAGATTTAGGACCACTGTTGAAAGCAAGGTTTTGGAAATTGGAAAGAGTTCAAAGGGAAAGAACATAAAATAGTTATTATTTAAAAATACTGACTTTAAAGAAACCTAAGATATATGAACTATTAGGGCTTTAGAGAAGGTTCAGTTTATGATGAAGGAACTGCCTTTAAAGAACTTTTTTAATGTCCTTGTGACCTCCTAGAAGAGAATGGGCTTTGGAGACAGTGAACCTCTTTAAAATAGCACTTCTGCATTTATTAGCTGTGTGATCCTGTGTATATTTCCAAGTCTCTAAGACTCTTCATTAATAAAATGAGGAAAAACATTATATATATATATATATATATATATATAAAATCATGAGACTCCTGTAAAATTAATGTATGTAAATTACTTTGTATATTGCCTAGCACATGATGCATTCCATTAATTGATAGCTATTGGTATTAAATAACAATAATTGAGAGCTATTTCTACAGAATATATTAACTGGTTACATTCTTCTAATTGCATCAAACAAATAATTTACTCAAACTGGGCTTCTAGCACTTTTACTTTTGTATATATCTATTGGTAGAGAAATGGAAACAAAAATAAAAGACAATGATACTCTGACCATTCACCATTCAATGCCTGAAAATTGAGAGCCCAACTCTCATTAAATACTTCGTAGATGTTTGCAGAATTAAAAATAAGAGAATTGGCCGGGCGCAGTTGCTCACGCCTGTGAATCCCAGCACTTTTGGAGGCCAAGGCGGATAGATCACGAGGTCAGGAGATCGACACCATCCTGGCTAACACGGTAAAACCCCGTCTCTACTTAAAAAATACAAAAAATTAGCTGGGCGTCGCGGCGGGCGCCTGTAGTCCCAGCTACTCAGGAGGTTGAGGCAGGAGAATGGCATGAATCCGGGAGGCGGAGCTTGCAGTGAGCCGAGATCGCGCCACTGCACTCCAGCCTGGGCGACAGAGCAAGACTCCATCTCAAAATGATAATAATAGAATTATATGACTTGTATGATCTGAGATAGATGAATTTAAGGAAGAATTTGGTATTGAGAGATTTAATTCATTACTTCCCTAGTTGTTATGGGTTGTTTTGAGTTATTACCCCACATTAATCATTTGTCATTTTGTTTTGTTAAAATGAGAACACATTTTCTGTACATGTTGCATGAAAAAAGGCAAGGGAACCACATATCTCCATTGACTGCATACTCAAGTCTATCCATTATTTTACATAACAGATAGATGAAAGGAAACATTTTTTAAATATTTGTCTTTAAAATTATCATAGAATGGATAACAGTGATTGTATAGATGATGGAGACCTTTCTTTACGTGTAGAATTGCTTGGGCACAGCACAGTCCACACTGGAAGATTTCTTTTCTCCCCAATCAATCAATCAATCTCTCTCTCTCTCTCTCTCTTTCTCTCTCTCTCTCTCTCTCTCCCTCCCTCTCTCCCTCTCTGCCCCTCCCTCCCTCCCTCCCTCTCTGGGGCCCTCCCCTTCCCTCTTTTCTCCCTGCCTTCTTTCTCCCCACCTCTTCAACTGCATTGGTAACGTGATAAGAGCAGAAATGACAAGTGGCTATTAGATTCACTTGTATATAAATTCTAAGTGTCACCTATTTCTATATCTTAATTATTCTATAAAATGCTATCCAGTTTTTGTAAGCATTTCAAGGTAATAAGTGCAAAGTACCTTGGACATAGGGGATAGTCTTTAATATTTCCTCTTTTTTCTTTACTTTGGATGAATGTTACCAGACAGTAATAACATTTTAAGTTCTTCAGGAAAACAGCAAGGCCTATGCAGTTATATGAAAGATAAGAGAATATACCTGTAATAAGAGTATTTTCTAATAACATTAACTTTTTATATTTAATATTGCTCTGAATTTATTATTCTAAACCAAAAGAAAAAAATCCATCAAATAATCTTGAAAAGAAGCAGCTAATATAATCTATTTCTGACACTTATTCTATTCATTTTTATCAATACTTGCATATCACCAGACTTACAATAAAGAACATTCATGTAATTATTCTTTCGACATTTATTTATTGAGAACATACTACACGCCAGGCATTGTTGAAAGTGCTTAAGAAATATGAGTGGACAAAGGAGACCTGCACTGAAGAAACATATTCAGGCAGAAAAAGTTACCTTTTGACACTCTGGGGCATACTCCCTTAACTAGTGTTTGTTGGCTTCCTTTTGAAGTTTAAAGTATCAGAATTGTACTCTGTAGAAGCTTGTTGAATGTTAGAAATAAAAAGAAAACCGGACTGGACTAGGAAAAGTCAATGCCACTTTTATTGTCCTACCTACACTCTGGTTGCTCAGGGGAATTTAATTTGCCTATTTCATAATGCCTCTTTCTTGCAACTGCCTTCAGCTATTACATTTTCAATCAGCTTATTTCTACCCAGCAGAAGCAGTCTGGAAGAGGTTGCCTCAAAGTTGGTTTTTCTATTGTATGTATTAGAATGCTGTCAGTAACTTATTATAGTATCTTATTGGATGGTCTTTGTCCTGCTGTATCACCTTCCCAGCAGAGGTACAGATAATGAAAATCTATATGGCTAGGACCTTGGATTTGGGCAGTTCAATTAGTTGTTCAGGAAGTCTATCAAAAATGTGACTCCAGGTCCCTGAACTCCAGCATTCTCATTATTAGAGTGAAACGTTAGTGACAAATGAGGTATGATGGTCTAGACACCTCATCAGCCTGCTGGCTTGCAGCCTGAAGTAAAGGCGCAGTTTTAAAAACATCAAGGTCTTGATGGGTTCTGAACATGTGATTCCAGACCAAAACCTAAGAAAAACGGGGGAGCATCATACGTTTTAAGACAATAATAAACTCATAGGCCTCTGAAATTCTACAGTCAAGAGTCAAAGCTACGTATGCACTTGAAGATGTGGAAAGATGTTACAGTTCAAGATGAGATTTCTTATTGGCTATAGTTGTAAATATCAGGGTTATTCTAAAAAAAGATTGTCAACGGTTTAATGATACTAGAAAAGCTCACCTATTTTTAAAGTTTTTTATTTAAGCAGTGATTAATAAATACTGATGTTTGTTATTTTAATAAATGTCATGTGTATGGAGAGGTATCATCAAGTAAAGTTTGTACTAATCTATATGAAATCCATATGGATATCCATATCCAAATGTATGAGTCACACATATATTATCTACAGATGTGGATAACCACTCAAATAGTGGTTATCCATGGGAATGATGCTGTCCTCTAGGGGTGTTTTGGTTATATGTGGGGTAAATTTTGGTTATCACAATGTGGAGGGTGCTATTAGTGTTTAGTGGGCAGAGATAGTAGAATACATGCAAAATAAAGAATTGTTCTGCCTCCAGGAAAAATTCCTGTTTCAGAGCTCAATAGGAAAACCTGTTTGATTATCAGAACCTAGACCCAAATTCTATCTTACATGTAAATATAAACCCAGCATACATTTGGTGTGGTTTAAATACAGATTAAATTCAGATTAAATTCTCTATAATTACAACTACTGTCTAAAGTGAAATAAAATGATGCTTTATTTTGTCTGAAAGTTTGCCAACAGTGTTGTACCATTTTAAAGAACTATATTACTAATTCCAGTCATCATTTTTAGTCACCAATTCGACATACTATATCATTTTTATAGCCATCACATTCATGGTGATTATACATTTACAAACATAGGACCACTTAATTTTACACAGAATTAAAAATCTAAATACTTACGCTAGAATTACTTTCCTCTTAATTCTTCTGTAAATGTTAGATAGGGAGTTATATTGATTTTTTAAAAAATCAGCTAAGTTACATGTCTATAAGCTGAATCTCAAATAGTAAAAGGAAAATAAAAAGTACATTATAAAAAGAATCTGAGTCTTCTGAAATTTGAAATTATTGATTTACATATATGGGAGGTCTGGCTTTTTGACTATAGAGCCAAGCACAAATGCTGTATCCAAACGGTGGGCACATTTCTTTGGTAGAAATATATAGATTCTGAAAACACTCTTGACACATTCAGACCTATAAATGGATAGCAAAATTTTGACATAAAGATCTGAAAATAAATTCTAAAGTTGGCATAATAGATTCTCTTCAAGCAGTTCAAATACAAATATATTAAATGCCTCATTATGCAAGACACCTTGATAAATGCTTGGATGACAAAGACAAATAT
The DNA here is from genome assembly GCF_000001405.40 of Homo sapiens. NCBI lineage: Eukaryota > Metazoa > Chordata > Mammalia > Primates > Hominidae > Homo > Homo sapiens. The sequence continues at coordinate 92,707,497 of NC_000004.12, forward strand.
GAAATAATTCACTCCTCTAGAGAGTTGATATTCTAGTGGGAGAGACAGAAAAATATCTAAAGAATGCTAATGCAATGTTAACGTGGAAAGATTTATTTTATACAGTTCTATAAAAGAATGAAAGAGGCATTTGAGAGGAAGCCTGGTATGAGATGTAGCTTTTGAGCTATGCTATGGCGTATGTTGTAGAGTGCCTAAAATATTGTGCGAAAATAACATTGCAAGGAAAGAGACAAAAATAAAATACCATTTTAAACAAGAAAATAACAGCAAGAAAACTTTTCTCAGATGGTTCTGTGTTTGAAGGAAGTTCGACTGTGTTGTAACAGAAAACATTTGATGGTCCCTGATGGGTTTCTTGGAAGAATAGAGTGATGAATTCTGTGAGAGAAAGAAAAATCAGAATTATTCTGCAGAATTAAAAAACCAACGAACAAACTTAATTTGGAGTTCCAAGGGAATTCCTAGAGAGAATGAATGAGGGAATGAGAACCAATGGAGGAAGGTAGGTAGATGTGATCTTGGTTTTGGCAATGGTGAGAGACAGAGAAGGCTATGGAAGTAAAACAGAGGAAAGTTAAGAGATAATGGAATTGGGAAGAAAGGTGCCCATGAAAATGTAGTATTCTAGGAGTCCACATAGTCCAGGGAAGCACTGGACTTCCCACAGTTTAAGCGAAGGGAATGAAGGCAGTTTTACTTAAATTTTAAAGGAAAGAATAATTCCAAAGGTGGAGAATTAAAAATATCCAGCAAGTCAGAATAGTTATTACCTTGCAAACTCCAAACCAATTCAAGTTTCTCCCATCAATCAGTCACAGACTAATGCTTTCTAAAAATAAAAAATCATGTACCTCAGTGTCACAGCAATGCAACTGCTTCAATTTCTGTCGTTATTTCCTGGGGGATGGTAATACTGTATTTACAGACCAGTACTGGTTCATGAGTTAAGGTTTTGGTAGCACCGCTCTGGAATTGGGCAGCATGGGTTTGTATCTTAGCTCCCACACATTATTGTGGACCTGGGAAAAACACTTAACCTCTCTGTCACTTATTTATCTCATCTGCAATAAAAATTGTGTCTAATTTTTTTGGAAATGTGACAGATTATCACCATATTGGTATTGGTTCTTCATTTTTATTTAGTAATAAAATTTCTGATTTTCAGTTGAATACTTGGAATAATCCCTACTTTTCTCAGACATGTTTGTAGCGAATGTCTTTTAAGAGGACCAGCCAGACTAACATGGTGAAATCCCGTTTCTACTAAACGCAAAAAATTAGCCAGGCATGGTGGTGCATGCCTGTAATCGCAGCTACTTGGTAGGCTGACACAGGAGTATCCAGGCGGCGGAGGTTGCAGTGAGCTGAGATCACACCATTGCAGTCTAGCCTCGGCAACAAGAGTGAAACTCCGTCTCTAAATAAATAAATAAAGGGGGAAATATTTTGTGTATCTGAATTGTGCCCTCCAGGATAGAATGTGATGTTTGGTGCTTCTTGGGCCAGGAAATAGAACTCACAGGCTGAGAGTTGGTGGATCAGCAAAATAGAAGGAGCCTGAGTCCTGTACATCATGGGCCATTATACCAGCCCTGGAGTGTCCACTTTTACGTTTCTTATAAGCTAGAGAAAAAACAAATTATCTTATTAACATTCTTTTGAATTTTCTCTCACATACAGATTAAGCAATGCCCAACTTATCAATGAATAAGTTAGAAAATATGTGTAAACCAATACTTGACTCATAGAAGACATTCACTAAAATTTAATAGTAATTATTAAATAAGTAGGTTGAAAAAGTCATCTATTTGTTAAGTAAATATTTAATAACAACATTCTGCCTGCCACTGTGCTTTATACTGGTGATACGAAGATGATTAAGATAAATCAGCTGCATATAAAAAGTTCTTGTCTCAAAATTACAGTGTAATGATACGCTATTCGCAGTTTGTTGCAATTTTTCAAATGATCTACAAAGTGGAGAGTTAAGAGAAAAACTAGGAACGTTTGTGTCTGGCAAGTAATGTCCTTACTGAAATTTGCCATTGTGAGGTTCCTCAAAATAGTGTAGAGAAAAAAAAAAAAAAAAAATATATATATATATATATATGTAATTTGATCATTCTCCATATATTTGCTTCTGAATTAGAGGGGAAGTGGCAAAATATAAGAGTTAAATTTTATGGAAATTGTATTAAGTCTTTTCCTTAAGACATAAGCTTAGCAAGATGCCATTTTGTCTGACTGTAGAGTGATAACGAATCAGGTTAGAGTGAACCTGATCTAACGTTACAAAGGTCAAATATATTTCCTTTCTCAGATTCAGAGTTGGATCAAGACTACAGATGTATCTATTAGATTTCTTGATGCCTATTCTCAAACATCTGAGCAAAATTTAAGGTCTCCAAAAAGTACTATTATTCTAATAGAATTTTCAGTATATGTAACAGGTTGTCTTTTTCCAACTGCAGTTTGGAAAAATACAAATTTGATTATCTAAAATTTGAAAGTAAATTAATTTTAATTTAAATTGCTCTAATATTTTTATATGTTTGACATACAGTTTATATTACTTGTTTTATTAGTTTTAAATGAACATCATTACTTTTATTAAAATTTGCCTTTGATAGGAAAAAAAACTGTTCTTTTCTTGATGCCATACCAATTATCAAGTGTTTATTGTTTTGATAGATTTCCAGCCACTTCAATGTGCAACTGATATGGACAAAACTTTTTGTGTATGTTATTTAATATTTTATTTGTAATTGCTAAAAGAGAAGAAAATAGTAAGTACTAAATAAACAATTTTTAGATAAATGAAATAATTAAAAACTTGAATCTTATTTTGATTATTTATAGTTTGTGGGTGCATTTAAAGATAACCAAAGTCTTATAATTCATTTAGCAGCTTGAGTTATAAGCAGTGGCTCCATCAGGTATATTTTCCAATGTGCTATGTATGTAATTTTTCTTCTATCAGATAAACTAAAAGCAAACGTAAGAGGAATGCTCTCAACTTTTGCCAGGCCCTCTCTTAGCTTTTGTGCCATGTCCTGGTGACGACTACACTTGAAATCCCTGGGCTACTGTACTTCTGTGCTATCCTTATTGAGAGAATGGCTTTCGTATGTTTGAAGCCAATGTTTTATTACTCTTTATTTCCTTGATACACCCTTGATATCTTTTGTTCTTCTAGACTCACATTCCAAGGTTACCTCTAGGTTTTCAATATGATATTCATTTGAGAAGACAGAAAGCATACAGACTGTAAGTAAATAAGAGTAACCTTATTATGGACATAATATTTACTCTCACACCCAAACACAATAATTTGTAAACTTCCATAATAAACTTATATTACTATTAATAATAAATTGCTTGCAACTTAAATAACCATGATGAAAAAACTAGCATTCAGATTCAGTGTTTTTTTTTTAATTATTAATCTAAAGTATTAAGGATAAAGAATAAACCTTATAGGACCGGTTATTTATTATTTATAAATCTTATCTATAAATTTTAATTTTCCCTGGAGGTTAAAAAATCAGAATACTATTTAGTGGTAATCCCACTATTAAAGTATTTATTTCTAAGTTAATGTAACTTATACTTTGTACTATTTTTTTAAAAAATGCTATTTGGGGTTGATTGCATAGGTACAAATTATTCCAAAAGTAAAATTTTAAAATGAAGTATGTATTCAGACCCTTTAGAGACATGCTAATGGCAATTCATTCCTTACTGCTTATTAAAGTAAGCCTGCTAAGCAGACCTACTTATTAGTTGAATGTGTTTTAACTGGGTCCTCTCCCCAGAGTTTCATAGGCTGAAATCAACATCTCATCTCACTGCAGTCCGACCTGGGGGCTTGACTAAGAAAATATTTACTTTAGGATATTAGCAGAATCCATTTCTTTGTGAAAGTAGAACTGAAGTCCCCAGTTTTTGTTGGTTGTCAACCAAGAGCTACTGTCTGCTTCTAAAGGCCACTCTCAGGCTTTGCCTTGTGGTCCCATCCATTTCTGCAATAGAGTAACTGTTTCCTCAAATCCTTCTCACACTTCAAACATCTGTATTCTGCTACCAGCTGGAGAAAACTATGCTTTTAAAGAGTTCATGTAGGCCTGATGGGGTGACTCACGCCTGTAATCCAAGCACTTTGGGAAGTCAAGACAGGAGGATCACTTGAGCCCAGGAGTTTGAGAACAGCCTGGGCAACATAGTAAAACTCTGTCTTTACAAAAAATACAAAAATTAGCCAGGCCTGGTGGCAGACACCTGTAGTCTCAGCTACTCAGGAAGCTTAGGCAGGAGGATCACTTGAACCCAGAAGGTTGAGGCTGCAGTGAGCTATGATCCTGCCACTGCATTCCAGTTTGGGTAACAGAGAGAAACCCTGTCTTTGAAAAAATAAAAATGAAATAAAGAGTTCATGTGGTTTTGTTAAGTCAATCCAGATGATGTCTTTATCTTAAGTTCAACTGATTCATAGTCCATCTGCAAATACTCTTTTCTTATAAGGTAACATAGTTATAGAAGTAACATTGAGAGGAGAGTGATCATGACGGCCGTATTAGAATTTAGTCTACCATACTAATCTGATCAACACGAAAAATTAATTCATAAAGTATATAAGAGTTTCTCTGAGTAAATTGTATTTTACAAAATTCCTTTCTTTTAAATATGCTAAAAAAATGAGTTATTCATATTGCTAATTGGTATATGTATTTTGTATTTACAATCGGTTATTTTTTATGTTAATCTTTGAAGGTATTTCATTTAGCTATGTTCTACATTATTATTTTTAATATTAAGGTATTTATACTTTAGTGAACAATTTTTTAAAAAATTAGTTTTATTTTTCCAATAAATTAAACTGGGATGCTGTGTTGGTATTATTATTTCTAAGAGTTTGCACTTGTATCACATTAGCACTTTTACCAGTTGATGCCATAGCAACACTCCAAGTTGCTATTTATTATGCTGTATATTAACAATTATGGTTTCTAATTATAGCGAAATTCCAGTAGATCAGCATTCCCCTACTTCCATATATAGTATATAGAATATTAAATCTTGAAATATACTTATGGCTATATTAGGAAGAATGGGTGTTTTTTATTTACCAATACATCTTTCAAATAATACATTACAGAATTTGCTAATATTGCTATAGTTTGCAGGATTCTCTTATTTAATATGTTAATATGTTAAATGAAATATGCAAATGTCATAATGGATTGAATTTAGGTAATCATTAATATTTCTGTGTTACACATTTCTTTAGGTAAATGTATACAAATAGATTATTTAGCTTCACATGAATTACCATCAATAATTCCCTTGAATATTAAAAATAAATGTTAATATTTGAGATCTAGCTACTGTATGTAACTCAGGGGTAACTCAGGGATAGAGGAATGTTGAAAGTTCAAACCCAGAGTCAAATTATTGATGATATTTTGGATTTGCATTTGACTTGACTTTTTCTTTTTTCTTTTTTTTTTTTATTATACTTTAAGTTTTAGGGTACATGTGCACAACGTGCAGATTAGTTACATATGTATACATGTGCCATGTTGGTGTGCTGCACCCACTAACTCATCATTTAACATTAGGTATATCTCCAAATGCTATCCCTCCCCGCTCCCCCCACCCCACAACAGGCCCCGGTATGTGATGTTCATAGGTGGGAATTGAACAATGACTTGACTTTTTCTAACAAGATTTGGTAGTGTTTTCACATCTTTCTTTTGTGTACTTTTTAACACATAAAATGACAAAATAAGAGCTAAAATATTCTAACTTACCGGAATATAGTAAACTTATGTTAGTAATAGGAAAAAATAAGAGAATGGCCAATATTTCAGTACTTTTTTAGACTTGTTCTCTCTCTGAGTGGGTTATATAACCAAGAATAAAATTTAAAAAAATTAGTTAACATAGACAGTTTACATATATTTACATATACATATACATATATATATATATATATATATATATATATATATATATATATTACCAAAATTAGGTCTTGGATAGTGTTTTCATGCTGGATTAGTCTGTTTTCATGCTGCTGATAAAGACATACTTGACACTGGGCAATTTGCAAAAGAAAGAGGTTTAATGGACCTACAGCTCCATGTGGCTGGGGAGGCCTCACAATTATGGCAGAAGGTGAAAGGCACATTTCATGTGATGGCAGACAAGTGAAGAAAGTTTGTGCTAAAAATTCCCCTTTTATAAAACCATCAGATCTCATGAGACTTATTCACTATCATGAAATTAGCACAGGAAAGACCTGCCCCCATGATACAATTACCTCCCACCAGGTCCCTCCCATAACACTTAGGAATTATGGGAGTTACAATTCAAGATGAGATTTGGGTGGGGACACAGCCAAACCATATCATTCTACCCCTTGCCCCTCCCAAATCTCATGTCTTCACATTTCAAAACCAATCATGCCTTCCCAACAGTCCCCCAAAGTCTTAACACATTATAATATTAACTCAAAAGTCCACAGTCCAACATCTCATCTGAGACAAAGCAAGTCCCTTCCACCTATCAGCCTGTAATATCAAAAGTAAATTAGTTACTTCCTAGATACAATGGAGGTACAGGCATTGGGTAAATAGAGCCATTTGAAATGGGAGAAATGGGCCAAAACAAAGGGGCTAGAGGCCCCATGTACGTCCAAAATCCAGTGAGGCAGTCAACTTTTAAAGCTCCAAAATTATCTCCTTTGACTCCATGTCTCACATCCAGGTCACGCTGATGCAAGAAGTGGGTTCCCACAGTCTTGGGGGCTGCCACCTCTGTGTCTTCACATGGTACAGCCTCCCTCTCAGGTGTTTTCACAGGCTGGCGTTTAGTGACTGCAGCTTTTCCAGGCACATTATGCAAGCTGTCAGTGGTCTACCATTCTGGGGTCTGGAGAATGGTAGCCCTCTTCTCACAGCTCCACTAGGCAGTGCCCCAGTGGGGACTCTGTGTGGGGGCTTCAACCCCACATTTCCCTTCCCCACTGCCCTAGTAGAGGTTCTCTATGAGAGCCTTATGCCTGCCACAAACTTCTGCCTAGACATCTAGGCATTTCCATACATCCTCTGAAATCTAGGCAAAGGTTCCCAAACCTCAGTTCTTGACTTCTATGCACCCACAGGCTCAATGCCACATGGAGGCTGCCAAGGCTTGGGGCTTGCACCCTCTAAAGCCACAAGCCACAGCTTGAGCTGGACCTTGGTCCCTTTTAATCACAGCTGGAGTGGCTAGGACACAGGGCACCAAGTCCCTAGAGCACACAGCAGAGGGATCCTGGGCCCAGCCCGTGAAACCATTTTTTTCTCCTAGCTCTCCCTGCCTGTGATGGGAGGAGCTGCTGCAAAGGTCTCTGACATGCCCTGGAGGCATTTTCCCCATTGTCTTGGCGATTAACATTTGGCTCCTAGTTACTTATGCACACTTCTGCAGCCAACTTGAATTTCTCCTCAGAAAATGGGATTTTCTTTTCTATCATATTGTCAGGTTGCGAATTTTCCAAACTTTTATGCTCTCTTTCCCTTATGACATTGAATGCCTTTAATAGCACCCAAGTCGCCTCTTTTGCTGTGCTGCTTAGAAATTTCTTCCACCAGATACCCTAAATCATCTCTCTCAAAGTTCCACACATTTCTAGGACAGGGGCAAAATGCCATCAGTCTGTCTGCTTAAAACATAACAAGAGCCACCTTTTCTCCATTTTCCAACAAGTTCTTCATGTCTGTCTGAGACCACCTTAGCCTGGATTTCATTGTCCATATCATTATCAGCATTTTGGTCAAAGCCATTCAACACGACTTTAGGGAATTCCAAACACTCCCACATTTTCCTGCCTTCTTCTGAGCCCTCCAAACGGTTCTAACTTCTGCCTGTCACCCAGTTCCAAAGTCGCTTCCACATTTTCAGGTGTCTTTTCAGCAGCACCCCACCCCTGCTATCAATTTACTGTATTATTCCTTTTTACACTGCTGATAAAGACATACCCAAGACTGGGCAATTTACAAAAAAAAAGAGGTTTAATGGACTTACAGTTCCACATGGCTGAGGAGGCCTTACAATCATGGTGGAAGAAGATGAAAGGTACATCTCACGTGGTGGCAGACGAGTGAAGAGAGCGAGTGCAGGGAAACTACCCTTTTATAAAACCATCAGATCTGAGATTTATTCACTATCACAAGAATAGCATGGAAAAAAACTGGCCCAGTGATTCACATACGTATCACTAGGTCCCTCCCACAACACGTGGAAATTGTAGGAGTAAGATGAGATTTGTATGGGGACACAGCCAAACCATATCAGATAGCCTACTAAAATATCAGTAAGTTGAATTTTAACTATAATCAAACAATTGACTTTTACTGATATGGAGTGGATATTGAGAAAGAAATGCATTTATGAAGAAACTGCTATAGAATGAAAAAATTTAATGGTTTTCTACTTGAGATGTTTTCTGTCATTAGACATCTGAGCAGAATCAAATGACTCCTTTATAAAAATCTTCATTTATTCCCTATTAATGTGGCAAACACATGTAAATGACATAGTCATTAGCAAGGATGAGTAGGTCATAAATCTGCATTTTCACATTAGTGGGTTGAGTCACATTTGAATTCACTAAATGAATACAACACATTTTCTTTCACGAGTCAAAATTCCAATAATAGATTTTAAGATTGTTTCATGAAAGTTAGATCCTTCCATTGCTTTCTTCTATCTTGCCCTTTGACTTTCTGCAAAGACTTTCATTTTTTAGCCAATTTCCTCAGTGAAAAGAACAAAACAGAGGAAGTTTTGAGCTTTGACATGCTCATGATATCATTAGCAGGAATACTGTGCATTAATGCAAAGCTGTCTGGCCCTGTAGTGGTCATGTCCCCTGCCTTAAAAGGCTTTGAGATGTTGTAATTATGAATTAAGGCATAGAACAGTAAATTTGGATAGTACGTTGTAAAGGAAAACTGAAGGCTTTGGTGATATAAGACCCTCACTTCCCCTAATCTCTTGTTATTCAATGAAGAATGATCATTTTGATGGTCTTTTATTACTACAATCTAATATAAATGAAGGCTTGTTCAGCTGTCTGTGTTTTATGTACTGCTTCCCACAGCACTGGGACCCTTCCATATTATTTGACATTACAGCATCACATAGGGAGTTGCCTTAGTGGTTTGCTCTCCTGAGGAAATCCTATTATACGCTTTGAGTCAGTTCATCCATGATTGCCTGGGAGAAAATCATTTGTGTTGTTGAAATGTATTCACTTAAATGTTTAAAATCTGGGAGTCCTGGAGATTTTTCATTGAGGAAAAATAATTTTACATCTTGTGTTATATTTTGATTTTCGATTCTGACCTGATATCAGCAAAGCAATCTAAATATCTCCAGAGCAAAAGTGGAAGTGAGGAGATGACAAGAATCATAAATATTCTACTATTTTTGTGGTAAATAGCTCCATGACTTAGTTCCTAAATTCAAAACTCCTCAAAGGATGCTGCCCCATTGCAGCATTGGTACCCAGCACAATGTCTGGAGTGCAATGACCACTTAATACGCAGTTGTTGAATGCATGGCAATGTGAATGAGGGGAGGGTAAAGAGAGGCAGAGGCAGAACAACAACCTATCTCCATTCTTCTTTATGGACACTTGAAAATGCCCTGAGAAAATCTTACGTACTTTTCTGACCTGAGACTATCATAAGGCAATACTTCCAAGGTATATGTAAAGCTAGAAGGAAAACAGCCTCTTCATGCTCCCAAGGGCCACTTGTATTTCAAAGGCAAGAATAAACCTTAATAGCCAGAAATTCTTGGCAACAGTGCCAAAGAAATGTTAAGCAATAATGACAGAAAATTAGTTATCTTACATTCTACAGGTAGGTTTGTAGAGTACAACAGGCTGACAGGTGCCTGTCAAGAAAATGATGTTTGACGAGCTATAAAGCATATTTAATATGCTAACCCATTTAGTTAAAGCACCATATGGACCTTGATGATTTGTTTAACTTTGTTCAGTTAATATATGTTAAAGTAAACACAGTATGTCTATACTTAAATGAAGCACACATTTTTTGAGTAATGTAATAAATGTATTTTGGATCAAATGTGTTCACTTAAAGTCACAGATGTAACTGCATTAAAAAGAATATGCAGTTGTCATTAAAACAAAATGTATTTTCTTGTTCAATGAATTGAACTACAAGAAAATAGTGTTTTATTGAATAACCACTAATCAAGCAAATTGACTTCTAATATGGCACAATTCATTCATTCACATACTTCCAGAGTGTTGCTGCCATGCTCCAGAATTACACTTGTTTTCCAAAAAGCAAAATATCCCAATGTTTCTATGTGACAAATGACATAGATAATTTACAAAATATTAAATACAATGAATGATTGTTTTAACATTAAATTTTTATAGAGAAATATAAGGATCCCATTTTTCATACAAAATTATAGTATATTTACTAAATTTATGTTTGTCTAAAAATATATATTACTCATTTGTAGAAAACCTGTGAGAAAATTTGTTACAGTATGCATGGCAGTATAAATTGAAAAGATTTTAATCACATGTGTAATCAACCTTAAATGTGCCCACAAATACAATCTCATAAGGAAAAATTTGAGACTATTTTGCAAGAAAATATTCCCCAAATCAGGAAAAAATTATATAGTTTAGATAACTCTATAATAGCAAATGTGAAGAAACATAGGAAAAAGCTGAGAAATGACCTAAATATCCAAAAATATTGGAAAATTTGAAGAAATTATGAACTGTGTACTTGTTTACATGGTGTTTTGCCAGTAAAAGGGTAATTATGGAAATACAGAAAACTCCTTTTGCTTCAGCTGTAAATTTTAAAAGATACAAAATTTTAAATATAGTTTATTTATAGATGCACACATTTATTATATAAAAGTATATATTTTTAAAAATTTCAGGCCAGGAATGGTGGCTAATGCCTATAATCCCAATTTGGGAGGCTGAGGCAGGACGATTATTTGAGGCCAGGAGCTCAAGACCAGCTTAGGCAACATAGAGAGACCCCGTCTCTGCAATTTTTTTTTAAACAGCTAGACATGATGTTGCATGCCTGTAGCCATAGATGATCAGGAGGCTCAGGCAGGAAGATTGCTTGAACCCAGGTGATTGAGGCTGCAATGAGCCATGATAGCACCACTGCCCTTCAGCCTAGGCAACAGAGTAAGACCCTGTCCAAAAAAAAAAAAAAAAAAAAAAGCCAGAATACTCTTAAGTGATAAGATAGTGGAAACAGGAATAATCTTTTACTCTCTTTATTATTTATTATCTTCTGAACTTAAAGAATTTTTATTAAAGATTAAAATCTACAAAACAAACAATTTATTGCAATCTTACTTTTTTAAATCTCTTTCACTTAGGATAAATTTTGTGACCCAGTTTCTTGATGAAAATATCAAAAGACAGATTTTTTTTTTTTTAAGATGGAGTCTCGCTCTGTCACCCAGGTTGCAGTACAGAGGCACAATCTCAGCTCACTTCAACCTCTGCCTTCGGGGTTCAAACTATTCTCCTGTCTCAGCCACCCAAGTATCTGGGATTGCAGGTGCCCACCACCATGCCTAGCTAATTTTTTGTATTTTAGTAGAGACAGGATTTCATCATGTTGGGTAAGTTGGTCTCGAACTCCTGAACTGAGATGATCCACTCGCCTCAGTCTCCCAAAGTGCTGGGATTACAGGCATGAGTCACTGTGCCTGGCCAAAAGACAGGTTCTTAACAGGACTACTTATGAAGTTATAAAACACTTTTAACAAATGCTATAACCATATGTTTATAGAAAGCATATTTGTCCATTTATCTCTAATGGTTCCTTGTACGGTGATTTTCTTGTAAATATTAAATGCTACAATGGTTTAATTAATGATCGTTACTCTTTCATCCTCATCTTTATTTGAAGGTACATTATGTTTAGACCAAAACATTAAAAAACAACATTGCTTAATAGCAACTATTTCAAAATTTCAAAAGAACAGAAAGTTGACAAATGCTACTAAAAGGTAGAGAAATGCTACTAAAAGGTAGAAAAATGTGGTTGGATCTATGAACTTGCATGAGCCAGAGGAGTAATGCAGATAAGGTTTCTAAACAAAGAGGACGTCAAAGATGTTGATCTAGAGAAATGGTACAAATGAGAACTACAGGGGGGAGAATAGGGGGAAGAAAAGATGACGAAGTAAAATAGGACATGTAATTCAAGAAGTGAAGGCTCTTAATGTATGTTTGTAGAGAACTTTCAGTCTTTTGATCAGAGAATGAGCCAATTCTTGAAGTAGCATATTTTCCTCTAAGGATGTTCTAAGTCAAGGATACTAGCAATAGATAGGTGTTCTGCTTCTTCTCCTAGTAAGATAATACGGTTTTATTATTTAAGGATTTTCCACCTTAGAATAATTTTCTTAGCTATAAAAAATGGCAAGTATTATGATGAATTAAGTGATAACATAAATACATATATTAAGAATTGATTCTTCAGCTTTCAAATTCATATTACTAAGGTTTTGCATGTACTGTCTCCAGAACATTTCATAGGATGTTCATATTTCTTTTTAAGTCAAATTATATTTTACTGTACATTAATTTTCAGCATTTTTTTTAAGAACAAAAGATGTTCTGGACATCTTTCCAAGCATCCTAATAGGATAAAAGAAAATTACACAGGTAAAATTGAGAAAAATTATTTGAATTTTCACTTCACTATGTGTGCAATTTATCCTTAGTCTAAATTGATGAGGTGGTCTACAGTTTTCTTTTAAAATATGTGATTGTTACAGTAATTCTTTAAAATACGTTTGGTAGACTATTTAAAACATTAAGAAATTCATACTCAGATGAGTTAAATGGATTCAGAAATTCAGCCAAATACTACCTTTGGGAATAAAGCTCAGGGATTTCAGAATCCTGGTATTGTACACTAATTAAAAAAAGCTCTTTGCGAGACTCCATCTCAAATAAATAAATAAATAAATAATAAAACTCTTGTCCTATAAGCAAATATATTGATTTGTCTATACCATGTGATTATTAACAAAGTTGTGTATCTTTAAATATGCAGAAACATTACAATTTAGGATCAATATAAAAGGAACTGAAAAAATATCTCTTTATAATAACCTAATATATATGGAAAATATATGATATGTACTACTTTTTTCAGAACCATCTTCTGAGTACAAGCCATCACTATTCAAAAATTGATGATGGCAACTACCCTCTGGGTATATACCCATAAACATTGGCAGCAGGGACTTGAACAGATATTTGTACACTTGTGTTCATAGCAGCATTATTTACAATAGACAAAACATGTAAATAGCCCAAATGTTAATTGACACAAAAATGAACAAACAAAATGTGGTATAAATATAATGGAATATTCTTGAGCCTTAAGAAGGAAGACCATTCTGACACATCATACTGCAGTATAAATGAATCTTACAGTTATTATGCTAAGTGAAATAAGTCAGTGACAAAAGGACAAATATTGTATGATTCTACTATATGAGACACCTAGACTAGTCAAATTTATAGAGACACGAGGTAAAATGGTAGTTGCCAAGGGTTCAGGGTGGGACAAATGGGAAGTTAGTGTTCAATGGACAGAGAATTTCAGTTTGGAAAGATGAAGGAATAAGCTCTGGAGAAAGAGGCTGTTATAAAATGTGAATATGCTTAATGTCACTAAGCTGTACACCTAAAAGTGGTTAAAATGGGAAATTTTATGTATATTTTATTTTACCACAATAAAAAGTTGGTGAAAACATCAATGTGATTAGTACATGAATCCAAATAAATCATTGGTGGTATTAACTACATGAAATTTCAGTTTTCTGAATTTATTCTCTAAATTTGTTGTAATTTATAAATAAAGCATAGTGAAACAATAGGGAAAATAATATATTATTCTAAATAAGAAATAACTGAATGAAATTTAGCAAATACTATCTAGAAAGTATCATAAGATAGCAAGAGAAAAGTACTAAAAAGACAGTACTTTTCAAACCATCTAAATCAACTATATAAGGAGTAGACAGAATTATAGCATTAAAAAATGCCAATAAAAGGATCTTATCCAATTGAAAATTATAGCATGTCCTCTGTAAGAATACCTTTTTCTGTAAATATTTTGTGGCTGCCTCTTCTTTCCTAAAATAAACTCTTAGAAATTTTCAGAAGGAACATCTTTGTGGAAGTAGAAAAGTTAAGCTTTAACATCAAGAGCAGAAGGCTAAAGAACTGGATGACATTTATGCCCTAAACTATATGGTGAACACATTTAATGCCACAAGTCATCTTTGTTCCTAAAATGAAATAAACATATCATTGACCAGCAGGATAGAGTCAAGAATTTGAAGGTCTAATACAAACTGGGTTGAATCCTTGTATCTCTATCACCTGCAGGTCAGAACCTAAGAAAATTATTTAAACCTGAGAGGACTCCCAGAATGAAAGGTGGTAGCCTGAGTGATCAAAAGATTCATAGAGATACTCAGCAACCAAAATGGTTTCTGGACAGTGGACTGGCAATGGCTAAATCAGATGCAGTGTAGTCCGTGAGAGACATCAGAGGGGGACTGGTGGATGAGTAGAAGCTGGTAGTGAATGAAGAAGGCATCTCTGGATTTGGGAAGAATGCCACTGAAAGCATGGATACTGATGGCCAGCCATCATGGAGTGCATGCTACAAACACTTTAGAAGAGTATGAGGCAAGGAGAAAAGCTCATACTGGAACGTGAGGCAGCACCAATCATTTCAGCAGAGCCCAGAGAAAAGCAGAGTGGGAGCCTTACCTCATGTTCTTTCTCTGAACCAAGAAAAAAAATAAAATGCCCTAGAATTTATCTTACTCCTGAGAATGAGGAAAAGGGGAACGGGTGGGGTGGCAATCCAGAATATAACTGAACATTTAACCAAAAGAAACTATTGTGTACTGGAGGTAATTAAAGAAACATGACAAGGGGAAAGAGAAAAAGAAGATATTAACTAAGTGTGGCCCAGTTAACAAGAAATAAGGAAAGTTTCAATTTAGTATACCAGAGACTTATGACTGTTTACATATTAAATCTGCTATACCCATCTGGGAACCACTCCTTTAGATGACGCCAAGTGACTCTATTAATTTGGAAAAATAACACCCTAGAATTTAGTGTCTGCTGGGGTTAGAGAAGTGGGATGATTTGCTCAAAGAAACATAAGATTATTTAGAGAAAAGTCCCTAGCTTCCAGATCCAATACCCTTTCCCAATTGTAACATAATGACCTGTTGATGATTATGATTAGTTCTTATTGAACATTTATAATAATAATAGAAAAGGATCTCAAACTTTAGGCTGTATATTCAAATCCTAAATCTTTTGTGAATTGTTAAAGTAACTATTAAAAACAATCATTAAAGACAAAGATGTTTGTTGCCCCAGTGAGAAAGACTTTCAGAAATAAGTCAAACAACTTGTAGCTCTGCATGTGTACTTTTTTTTTTGAGGTTGATTTTATAATATGAATAATGGATAAGGCCTTAGTGATTGACCCCCAAATATCTTCATTTATTAAAACATGAAACAAAAGGAAAGCTTAGTGGACAACCACATTGTTGTAATTATTTTAGAAACATGGCCTTTGAACAATCAGAGTATGACATGAGTATTGATTAAATTGGAATTTAAGATGTTGTCTTAAAGTAGTGCTGATTTGAAGTGCTTTTACTTTCAGAAAAATTTCAATAAATTACTTTGTATAGCTTGCACCAGCCACACTTTAAGACGTTGGTAATGAACAGTTAAAATTTGTCCATCTGTCAAACTGTGTTTGATGACAGTATATGTTGTAAGAGTTGTGTAATGTATCAGCATTTGAACAAGAATAATGAACAAAAAAAGGTAGTTTTCTTTGAATCATTACTTAAATATCTATCTTGCCTACAGCTCAGAAACTTGACAGAAATATGTCTTTTTTCATGAAACTTAAAATCACCTTTCCTGTCTTTAATATCTAATCAATCTGTACTTTGAGGCATTAGGTAGTTACTTCTTTATTTTAAAAAGAAGCATTAGCCTTTCAGAATTGCTGTTTCTTGCAGAATTACAGTCTATTATGATAAAATTGTTCATATAATGAAGAATGGCCAGGATGTAGCCACTTTCCCTGGTTCTGCTAATATAAGAAATAGGAGAGATGGCTCAAAGCCTTCTACAGACTTTGATTTAGGACTAATCCCTTAAAAATCATTATGGCCTCATGCCTCTCACATTACAACAAAGTCGGCTACTTCTCTTCCTATTACCTCTTGTTTGTAAATATGATTAAATGAGCATATTCAAAATAGCTATTAAAATCATAATTATTCAAAATGATTTTTTTCGTATTAAATGTTCATAGGGACTTTTTCTTTTTTCCACTGTGAATTAGATATATTATTAATTCCAAACTAAGCTCACTGCATTTTAGTCAGATAGCAAAAATCTGTATCAATATACAGGAGGGTTTATCAATTAAAATTAATTTGACACCCTAATGGTACATGGTACTATAAGACATTCTTTTTAAAGTAGTCTTACAAATCATGAGAAGATGGCCTCAATGATATTCAAAAAGGCGGTACCTTCTGCTGCCAACATAAGATAAATTCATGCAGTCATACAGTGTCTATGTGTTAAGAGCAGCCTGGTCTGAGAATAAAATATTTCCATGCCACAAATCTCTTTCACCACCACTTTCCCATCCTTCAGCGTCCACTCCCCACTCACCACCATAGTTAGAAGCATCACTGTTACAACTCTGCAGATCCTGAATACGCCTAGGTTAGCATACTGCAGCTCTATCATGTTCATCTCACTCTTATTCTAGGACTGAGTAACATTTTAAAACTATTTTTAAAAAAAGTTGCACTTGGAGTCTGAAATCAAAATCTATGCTCCTTAAATGCACATGGGGACTAGATTTATAGCATCCACCACGTGAACTAACCAAATGTAAAATTGTATGACTATTGTACTTTTTCTGTGCAGGTATTTCTTTGACTATAGTCATGTAATAGACAAAAGCACAAATGTGGTGTCTACTTCTACCACTATTAACTGTAACACCTTGAACAAGTTACTTAACCTCATGTGCCTCAATTTTCTTATTTCTAAAATAAGGGTAATAATGATACCTGAAATCAAGGAATGCTGTGAAGAATACATAAACTAATATGCACGAAGTATTTAGAGTAATTAAAACAATAAGTACCATGGAAATACTAGCTCTCATTAAGAATTCATGATTCTAGAATGAAATTTTAAAATAAGTTATAGAATTTGAAGAACAAAGTTTTAAATTCCAATTTGCTTTGTTAAAATTGCACATAACTCTATATATCCTAGGTAGACATGATTGACAGTAGCCAAGAGTGAACCACAACTATTACCACCGTTTATTAAGAATAAGGAGTTAGGGGGCTGGGCGCGGTGGTTCATGTCTGTAATCCCAGCATTTTAGGAGGCCGAGAGGGGTGGATCACTTGAGGCTGGGAGTTCGAGACAACTCTGGGCAACATGGCGAAACCCCGTCTCTACCAAAAATATGAAAATTAGCCCAGTGTGTTGGCACATGCCTGTAATCCTAGCTACTTGGGAGGCTGAGACACAAGAATCACTTGAACTGGGAGGTGGAGGGAGGTTGCAGTGAGCTGAGATTGCGCCACTATACTCCAGCCTTGGTGACAGAGCAACACTGTCTCAGAATAAGGGAATAAGGAGTTAGAAGTCTAAGTAAGTTGGATAAATTGGAGAGTCTAACATCCTTATTATTTCAGTTTTCACAAAGGGGCTATGGAGAATAGTTGCACATAATTCTAAATTTACAATGGAACAAGTTGGATTAAACTGTAAATATTAACTACTATATCTAGGTATCTACTTGAAGTCTCATTCAGTTAAAAGCAGAACATCTGATAATTTTTACCTTACTGAAAACTCTGCTTTTCAGAAAGTTGAGTAAGGGCTTCATTTTAGATCTTATTTTGTCAAGGAAGCGTCAGTTTGTAAAATGGAAGTGACAGGAATCTTGGGAGATGTTCGTATCGTCTAAGGTGCCATAAAGCCAAGGAAATAAATGCTTTGTAGAGTCTAATATATTCCCTAGATTTTAAGAAAATCTTCTGAACAAAGTGAGTTCATGACAAAGATAGCTGTGCTCAAATGCTGAAAGCTTTAAAAAATGAAAGTTTTATTATAGCCTCACAGATTTCCTAATGAGAAAGCAAACATACATCTAATAAATTAATGCAGTTATATAGAGATAAAGCTTTCTGTTGGGCTTAGCTTTTATAGCAGAACATATAAAAAGCGGAAGTAAGCACAAAATGAAGAATAAATTGTAAGAAAACTGAGAGAAACTCTAAAACATGGAAAAAGGCATAGGTGAAAATATTGAGTACAACATAAATTGTGCTTTATATTATGCATGTTCTAGAAAAACAAGGCAAAGTTAAGTTTATTGCTTGAATCATAGATGAGAGAGAAAAGAGATCTACTCATCTTGTATTTTACTTCCATTTTGCCTGTTTACCAGGAACTAAGAAATGGAATAAATATGGATAAGAGTTGAAATTAAAATTTAAGATAGGAGAGGGACAAATGGGATTTAAATTAAACAACCTTTAGTTTCTTCTCTCAAATATATTCTCTTCTACAGATTATAAAATCCTATGTGCAGGCATTAAGTTTATTACACCAGCCTTACCACAAACACATAAGTAATGCATTGTACTGTAGTGTTGCCGCAGCTGCAACGTCACTCAGACTATAGGAATTTTTCAGCTTCATTATAATCTTTTGGGACTTCTGTCATATATATAGTCTTTTGTTAACTGAAACTTTGTTATGTGGTGCACCACTATACATGAAAGTAGCTGCTTTTTTAATTGGTATAAAAGAAATGCAACCTTAAAAATTCTTTTGTTATGCATTGTAATATACAGAAAGTAGTGATGAAATATTTGAAAATTATCTTACCATAAAATATTTCTTATTTTGAAGCTGTAGTGAAAAAATATATATGCTGGTTTCAGTTAAACAAAATTAATTTTTATAATCACAAAGCAGTTTGTGAAAACAAGCAGATTGAGTCAGATAGCCCATCTTTTGATAAAGTTACTAAAGCAGTTAATCCATATCGATTAAGCTGAAAGGACTCAGGTTAAAAATCAATTCTATGTACCAGAACATTGGTTCGGCTCCAGCGAAATAATTTGGTGCTCCTGTCTAGAATCACTGAGTATTGATTCTTCAGAATCAGACTATGAAGTTGCAACTTTGATTCCCCAGAGATTTTACAGGAAAAAAAATGGTCATCATAAATTAGACTTGAGAGTTGTTCTGATGCATTGAGGGAAAAAATGAAAGAAATTAGCATCACCTTTGGTAACTAAGGGTTTCTTTCCTTTCTGTAGGAAAACATAGGCTTCAAATCTCAAATAACATTCTCAGTTATCTAGTTATCTAATAACATATCTTAGTTATCAAATATTTATCTGAATTTCTCTCCAATTAAAGCTTATTCCCTATGTATTTGTATATACAGACATTCAGTCAACTAATGTTTATCATGTACTTACTAAATGTGAAGTCATAGCCCTTTTAAACAAAAGTAAAAAAAGTTCGTATACAATAAAAAGACTTAATTTACAAAATGGTGTTTTAAAGTGTTTCTGGGTTTCTTTGCTAACAGAATAAATCTCAATATAAATTTATAAATTTATGCAAAAACATTTTCTGTTAAGAAAACAAATCAAACCAAAAGAATTCTCTAGGAATAGAAAGGCTACTACTTTATGCAAGTTGTAACACTCACTTCAAGTCAACCAAATTTTGACCCTCAAATCATAAGTATATTACTATTTTGGTTAAGGGCCTGCCAGGATTTTCTTCATCCCAGTTTGCTGATATCCTTTGGGTTGGTTATCCTCTAGTAAGTATGTGTTATATACTTATATGCACATCAATAATGTATATACCATATATTTGTGTTGTATATGTTACAGTAGTGACACATTAATGATATTGTGATGTGTGTACTTGGCAATTATAACAATTTATACAAATTGCTATGTGAACATAGATGAAAACACAATATAGATTACAACTTGGACTGGAGCAGGTAATTGATGGAGGAGAGAAGAGAAGCTATCATTTATAAAATGCACCAAGCACAGTTCTTTGCATTCATTCTCCTGTTGATTTGACAAAGCAATTTATGATTACTAGTATCTCCATTTTATGGATGAAAAAAACTGATACTCACTGATCCATATGAACCCAGAGCTATATGGTTCTAAGTCCCCTTCCAATATACGGCTTTGCAAATTTGGGGTTTAGCGTTTAAATTTAATTAAGCTTATGAGCAAAGCATGCAGAAGTAGGGAAATTTAGAACATGTTCAAGAAATAGAATTTTCTTGGTTTAATTTGTGATTAAGAGACAGGGGAGGGAATGGAGTGGTGAGACCAGGAAGACAAGTTGGAACAGATCATGTAAATCCTTAGATGGAAAACTGAGAAAGGAATGTATTTTACTGGTAGTGAGAGTCATTGAATATTTTGCTTGAGGGTATAATGTGATTGAACCTCTTATAATTTTCTACTTCCCTACATAACTCATTTCCTTCTCTTTTACTCTTCTGTTGCTAGTAACAAATTACCCCAAATGTTACAGCTGAAAACAACAAATATTTATTATATCACAATTGCTGTGGGTCAGAAACCCAGAAACAACTTATCTGGGTAAGTCTGATTCAAAGTCTTTTAAGAAGGTGCAGTCAAGTGGTTTCATCTGAAGGTTTCACAGGGCATGTGGGAAATTGGAGATCTACTTGTAAGCTCGCTCAAGTGATTGTTGACAATCCTCAGTCCTTCACCACGTGGGTCTTCCATGGGGCTGTCTCAGACCCAGGTAGCTGACTTAGTATAAGGAATATAAAAGAGAATGAGACCAAGTCAAAGAGCACATGAAGACAAAATCCACAGTCTTTCAGTAAACTACTCTTGGAAGTAACACTCCATCTCTTTGCTGTATTCTGTTTGTAAGAAGTGAATCAATAAGTCCAGCCCAAACTCAAGTGGAAGGCACTGCACAGACTTGTGAACACCCATAGCTGTATGATTCCAAGTCCAAGAAAACAAAGCAAGCAGAGAAATAGCCTCTTACTCTTTGGAGCTTATCATAATGTTGAAACAGAAATATGAGGAATGATAATATGGGTTATCATTTATGCCACGTGAAGATGAGCATACAAAGATATTTGTTAGCTCTACTGTTGCTAAACTCACCTTAAGTCCTTTGAGACAAAAAAGAATTACATAGAACTCTAGTTTATATTTCCTATTAAAGGTTTTTATTTTTATTTTTGTTTTTATTCCATAGTGCTTAGGATAATATACACCTCAACTAGGTATTCATTCTATAATGCAACAGGCAGTGATTGTTGGGGGGTTTTCTTAGGGGCTGCCTACCATGCTACCTCTGGCCTTGCTTATATTATTCACCTAGAGTTATTCAAATTCAGTAAAAATATTTCAGTGACTACCTTTCTCAATGATCTATCTCTGACATGTTAAACTATATTTTTTTGACCTCCAGAAATAAAAGCAAAAAGAAAAACAATAAACCATTGGCTTCACCATGCACTTGGACACATCATTTTGTTTCTTTGGTAAGATCTAGGACATCTACTCCACTTGTGTCCTCAGAACACTGAGCAAAGTGCTAAATATAATATATACCCAATATAACTATATTGGCAATAGAAAATTAATTGAAATCATTTTTGGAGTATTACCTGTGTATGTTCACCACCCTTACTTTTAGTTTTTATTTTTGATTTTGATTGATAATTTTTTGAATACTGCTTGAGTGGCTCAAATAACATTTCAAAGTCACTTCTATGGGATAAGAAGCATGTTTTGCTTTGTTTTGGCATTTCCTGAAGCATTTCTTGTACTGTTTAATGCGCTAAAGCGTAAGGATTTTAGAAGTTCAGAATTTTCAGAAATTCTATGCAATTTTTTGCATTTTTAAAACTCATTTGACCAGCAGACCCTTTGGGAAAATGTTAGCTGACTTCATACATCATGGGGAAAAAATGTAAGCTAGTTTACCTGCTAATCAGTATGAGACCAAAACAGTGATTCACCTTCAAATGTGATCTGAGTTTTTTGTAGCCAGAGAGTCCTTGAAGTATTGCAAAAATTTAACAAAACAGTAAAAAAAAATCCTCTTTATAGTAGAATTTCATGCCATTGTTTTGGGTTTCCCATGTACTAAAACCTCAAAATTGGTAACAACAACAACAAGAAAACAAAGCAAGCAAAGAGAAAGCCTCTTACTCTTAAGAGCTTATATTGCTGAAATGTAGAAATATAATGAGGAATTATAATATGTGTTATCATTTATGCCACATGAAGATGAACATAAAAAGATATTTCTTAGCTCTTGTATTAGTTGCTAAACTCTCTTTGAGTCCTTTAAGACAAAATAATTATATCACATAGAACTCCAGTTTATATTTCTTATTAAAGATTTTTCTTTTTATTTATTTTTCCTTTCTTTCCATAGCACTTGGGATAATATACTCCTCAACAATGTTTGCATTCTATAATACCCCATATTGTCTATTGATTATAAGCATAAACCACTACATAGAAAAGGTAGAAAGCAAAACTGTCACAGCAATGGTGATCTCAGCTATTTTTAAAGGAAGCTTCGTTTTTTTCTCTCCACAGGAAAAGTTGTTTTGACACCCACCCACTGAACAGTAAAATAAAGCTGCATTGATTTTGTTTTCCCCACCAGGAATGGCATGTTACTGGATTCATCTTCCACTTAGATTAGGCACACAAAAATTAATGAATTTTAACAGAGCTAAATTCAGCTTCATTTTGTAGCCATTTTCTTTATGTATTTACAATATGATCTCAAACTTGTATAAATCATTTGCTTTGAAATATATTTAAAGCCATTTTTACTCAGTCCATGCTAAGTGAGTAAAGGTTTGCATCTAGAAGAGATGTCAGGATATTTTAGTGATTAGACTAAAACAAGCCCAAAGTAATAATAACATGGCATCTTTCACCAGAACAGAAGAAAATGTTCCCCGATTCTTTATTGATGTTTGTATAATACTGAGGTGCCAATAGAGATAAGCCTTGGTTTTGGCTGGTGCAAGCGAATAAGCAATCAGTTAAATCAGAGCACAAAGCTGTTAATTCAAATCTTTGCAGAAGATAGTAAATTATTCAGAAATCTAACTCATCTATCTATCAAAAATTGCACTGAGTAAAAAGGTGGGTTTGAATACTAATATATTATACAAAAATAGAATTACAGCATTTAAATCATTGAATGCAGTGAAAATTGGATGAGATGTGGCATGCAAGTAAATAAAATACTAATTTCCAACTTTAGGAATTATAATTTATGTGGTGGTTTAAGCTTTCAGGTGATGTGTAATTGGATGTCTTAGCTTTACTCTGAGAAAAAGTTCCAATTAAAAGGAAAACCATCTATTGTTTACATTTAATACAACTTTGAGGGTTTAAAAGCTCTTCATCATTATAGAATTTAGAGACTAAATAATGTACTTAGACTCTAGCTAATTTTAGACAATAAGTGATTTTTTTTTTTCTTTCTTTCTTTCTTTTCTTTTCAAAAGCAAGACCAGCAACTTTGGGAAAACCTACTGTCGGGTAATTGCCATATGGCAAAAACCATGATTACTTTTGTACCAAGGCAACCTAATACCAATACCTAATACCAATTACCAATTACTTTTGCAACAACCTAGTAAAGTAGCAGGATTCTGACTACTCTGAACCTTGGCAATCTAAGAAAATTCTGAAATACAGTGTATTCAGAAGAAGCTTATAAATTTGATAAAAAAGATGAACAATACCTTTATTTTAAAGTATATTTCTACACAATGTATATTTGCACTTATCTTCAAACTGATTTTGTAATTTGTTATAGTATTGTTTGGTGTTAGCCTAAGTAGTAATCTATGATATTTTATCTATTAAATGTGAATAATTAAAGAGGGTGAATTTGGGTAAACTGATTTACTAATATTTATTAATTAAATTGAGTAACTTTAGGAAAACTACATTTTCTTATCACATTTGTTCTCTTGTAAAAAGCATGTCAATACCTAGGAGACAATAGATGAGTGCTTTCATTCCCAATAAGGCAATCATTTTCAGAATGAGCTTTATAAAGAAACTAATAGTCATATTTCAACTTGATTATTTGACCATCACAATTTTATAAATTGAAAGGAGTGTTTGAAATCATAGGGCATGGGTAGTAGTGGAATTGCATTTTTTAAATTACCTATAATTTTTTTAAATGTCACTGCCTTAGAAATTCTTAGGGTATGTAGTCTTATCACTGTTAATAAGAAAAGAAAAATTATTTAAAAATGGGGAAGATAAAAGAAGTTGAAATGCTTTTTTGGAAGGACCAACAGAATCCACTTTACAGTGACATACATGAAATGAGCAATGTTTAGTATATTGTAGTCAACACCCCATCCCATTCATTTAAATTTTGCAAATAATTTCATCAGGAGTAAATGTGAAAATGGACCTAGAGAATTGTGAGTATAATTTTTTTAGTGTTCTGTCATTGTGTGTATGTTTGTATATATTTAATTTTAAAGAATAATTTTAATTGCATATATGAACAGACTTTAAATTGTATGGTTACTGATTCAGTATCATCTAAAATATATGTATTCATTAATTTCTCTACAAATCTTTTACTGAGTGTATACTATATGTGAACATAGTATGTGCTAGAGTTAAAATGATAATATATGACAAGCACCTGCATTCAAAGAACTCCCAGGTAAATCAGCACTTGTCATGAAAACAAAGTTTCATTACAGAGTGATAAATGTTAATAGAGTAGGGCTCTATTGTCTTAGCTTGGACATGATTAGACTCCACTTATTGTGGTAAGTGACTCTAGTTCCCTTGTTTATTCCAGCCATTATTACAGAGTTACATATGACTGCTCAGTCTGCAGCCTTTTAACCAAGATTTCAAATGGTTGTTATCATTCCTTCTTAGAATTAACATAGACATAGTGATACTCCTTTCATCTATCTGTCTATCTTTCTATCTATCTACCTATCTAACAGAAACAGGAGAACATACAGCTTTTTCATATATGTATGCTTGTCTTTCCCAAAATTATAAGTTTATAGATTAAGCCTTTATTTTGGAGTTGACGTTGTTTTGTGTGCTTTTGCATTTGTCGTTGTACATTTTTCTCCCAATTTTGTGGCTGTAAGGCCTAGTACAGTGACTGACATATATCAAGAGCTAATTTTTAATGTGAAACACTAAGAAACTTTATGATTAATTATATGTATGAGATTGGTTTTAAAACAGAAACAGATACCCACAAAGAGACTTGAAAGATTTGCTTTTAAATCAGGAAACCCACACTCTGCTCCCTCTTCATGTCTTCCTCTCTCTCTCTCTCTCCAGTGTGTTTATTTTAGTAAGATAAGTAAGATTCCTGATAGGTGTAAAGAGACAAGAGAAAACATTGCTACTGTATCACAGCACATTCATTTTAAATTCAATTAAGTTTTCTGATTTCTATCCAAATGGAAAACCCTGCAAACCTTCCCATTCTGCTAATCTTTGGGCCATACTAACTTTCTGATTCTAACCTGTAACTGATTAACTGGACCTTTAAAGCTTTTTCTGTTACCTTTATACTTGGCCTTGGTCTAGAAGAGTCTCACAGACTCTGTCTCTGCCCAAGCTAATTCCAGGAAATGCTGTCTATTCTATTCAGTGACCTCTCCCGAGGAGTCAGAGCTAGTTGGTGTTGATGACAGGGTTGGGGAGGTAGTCAGGGGACAGGACTGAAAAGAAGTGTGGAGTTAAATAAGTAGATAGCCATTTTAGGAAGCCTCTGTTTTCCTCTGGTTTGCATGGGGATTCATGCAAATTAGTGTAAACTAGACATCTCACTGGCAAGGCTGCAGGGACTCAGCTAGAATCTGTTTGGCATCTGTTCCTCTTGCTCAACAATTTCTAAGAGACCAAGAACAATTCCATAGCACTTATCAATCAAGGGGTTGAAAATGACATTGCTATCACTGAGTTAAATCAAGTGTAAGATCCTGGGGGCTGTGATCCTGGCTCTGTCCCTTTAAAACTGGTGTGATTACTGGTGTAGCTACCACCAAGCCTGAGAATGCCAAATCTGAACGTTGATGGAGGAACAGCAAGGATCCTCCAGGCAAACAGATTGTTCTACTCCCTCAAAAATTCTTCAGAGGAGCAGGGAGCCCAGAGGGGGATCAAAATTTCTCCAACTCTTCCTCACTTCCAATTATGTGTGAAAGGGAAGATCTATCCACCACATCCAAGGAGAAGCTCCATCCTAAACTTGCAGCTCTTATTTCTGAGCCAGTCTTGTTGCAGTGTTGTTTTGATTTTTTTCAAAGGAACATGAAATAAACAGTTGCTTTGTAATTTATTTTTACATGTTTCTATCAGCCCTTAGAAGTTCAAAGTATTCAAAATTTTAAATTATGTTAATTTTACACTTAAAAATAAATGAACTGAATTTAAATTACTTAACTTTCTTAAGATAATATTTATAAATTTAAATGTGCATCACTCTATTTTTTTCTTTTTATTTTCTTTGCTTTACTTTACTTTTTTTTTAAGATAGGGTCTTGCTCTATCACCCAGGCTGAATGAAGTGCAGTGTTGCTCACTGTGGCCTCAAACTCCTGGATTCAAGTGATCCTTCCACCTCAGCCTCCTGAGAATCTGAGACTACAGGTGCATGCCACCACACCTCACTATTTTATTTTCCTTTTTTATAAAGATAGGTTCTTGCTATGTTGCCCAAGTTGGTCTTGAACTCTTGGCCTCAAGTGACCCTCCAGCCACAGGCTTCCAAAGTTCTGGGATTACAGGCATGAACCACCTCGCCCAGCCTTACTTTTTTTTACTTGGTGAAATTTCTAAAGAGGAAACTTGACATTCATGAATACTGGAATTAAGAATATGAGTAATATATGTGTGATTAAATTTAGAACATTTTTTCTCTTCATCTTCATCTTTTACAATATATGTATTTTAACTATGAATTATTGTACATTGATGGTTATATTTCTTTTTTTTAGTTTTTTTTTTCTTTTTTTTTTTTCTGGAGACATGTCTTGTTCTGTCACTCAGCCTGGAGTGCTGTGATGCAATCATGGCTCAGTGCAGCCTTGTCCTCCCAAGGGTCATGTGACCCTCTCAACTCAGCCTCCAAGTAGCTGGGAGTACAGGCATGTACGATCACATCCAATTAATTTTTGTATTTTTTGTAGAAAAGGAGTTTTGCCATGTTGCCCAGGCTGGTCTTGGACTCTTGGGCTCAAGCAATCCACCTTCCTTGGCCTCCCAAAATGCTGGGATTACAGGCATGACTCATTGCACCTAACCTGATGGTTATATTTCATTTACCTATTTAGAATGTTAGTATTGAACATTTTAACATATAATTATCCAATTTAATATTAATCCTTTTTGATATTAATCTCATATTAATGTTCCATGGAATAATACAGTGGTCCTTTCCTTATATGCCAGAAATATGTTCTGAGACCTCTAGTGGATGCCTGAAGCTATGGATGCTACCGAATCCTACATACATTATATTTTTCTTATACATAGAAGCCTAAGATAAAGTTTAATTTATAAATTAAACACAGTAAAAGATAACCATACAACTAATAAGATACAACAATTATAACAATATACTGTAATAAAAGGTATGTGAATGTGGTTTCTCAAAGTATCTTATTGTCCTGTAACCATCTATTTTGGAACCATGGTTGACAGCAGGTGACTGAAACTGTGAAAAACAAAACTGCAGATGGGATGGGGACTACTGTGTTTATTGTCTTACAAAAGGAAATAAAAGTATAATCTTCTTTACGTAAAGATTTAAGTTTTATTTAGGAACTTTAATTAACTACACTCTTTGAACTTAAAATTTATATTGTTTCCAGCTGATGTAAGTGCTACTCAGACTCTCTTGAACTTCTTTTTCAATTGTATGAATGTTTCCTAGAAAATTTTATTTGCATGAAACTCACTAGCTTCTTTTTTTTATTTTATATCATAAGATCTCTTTCAGGTGGATTGAATGTCTGTTCCTTAGGTCACTTGATAGTACTTGTTCTCAACTAATAATCAATGAAGCCATATAAGTTTGGATCTTGAGGTCACATGAAAACATAACAGTATTTATAAATTTAAAAATTAGAAAGAAATATTTCTTAAAGAAAAAGTTCTAGCTTAAGACCAGTTCCAAATGACTGAAGAAAGGTTCACGTGGTAGACAGAAAAAGCCCCCCCAAAGATACCCACTTTCTAATCTCTGGAACCTGCAAATATGTTAACTTACATGACAAAAGGATTTAGCAAATATAATCAAATTAAGGATATCAAAATGGAGAGATTGCCCCAGATTGTCTGAGAGGGCTCATTGTAATCACAGGGATCTTTATAAGGAAAATAGAAAGGTAAGAGCATCAGAATCATAGAAGGAGGTATAACACTGAGAACAGATTTTGGAGTGATTTGATTGTTGATGTTGGAGGTGGAGGAGGCCTGTGGATGACAGAAGAAGCATTTAAAAGTTGGAAAAGACAAGAAACAAATTTGATCTAGAACCTCCAGAAGAAATACAGCCCTAAAGACATTTGATTTTAGCCACATGAAATGAATTTGGAATTCTGATTTGAGATATAGCATAATAAATTTTTATCGTTTTAAGATGCTAACTTTATAAAATTTGTTATAGCACAGTAGCAGTAGGAAAATCGTACAGTTCTAAAAAAGATAAAGAGCAGCAATTCCCAAAAGGATATACTCATGAATTCTTACCTATTTATTCCTTTAACCTATCGAATGTCCTAACCAAATACAAAAATATGCCATTACCAAATACAACAACATGCCTCAT
The DNA here is from genome assembly GCF_000001405.40 of Homo sapiens. Taxonomy (NCBI): domain Eukaryota; kingdom Metazoa; phylum Chordata; class Mammalia; order Primates; family Hominidae; genus Homo; species Homo sapiens. The sequence goes on from NC_000004.12 coordinate 92,736,607, forward strand.
TAGCAACAAACACGTACTTAGGCTTTTGTCCATTTAGGAGTTCTAAATATTTACTCTTCTCTCCATCTTAGACAACAAATCCTGGGGAATGTAATTATAATTTACTATTAACCTAAACACTGCCCCAGTTTATGGGCCCTAAACATTTCAACGTTTTTCTTCTAACAGTCCCAAGTGGGCCACCTCTTACAAAGAGAGTAAAGTGACAAGTGTTGAATTATATATGGTAAAGTTTATAGAAGGAAGAGATCACTGTGGACAGGAATACTCAGAAAGAATTCTAAAATACATCAGCCTTAGCAAAACAAGGTATGTGCTGAGAGATGGTTGCTTGGAGAGGGACAGAGAGGATGTGGGGAGAGAACATTCCAGACAGACATAGAACAATATGTTTGGTTGAGATACTCATATACTCATATTTTTAATTAAAAACATTTTTGTACTAAGAATTATGCATTTTAGTTGGCAGAAAGCAAACATTCAGGACATCTAGCTCTTCAATAATGATAAATGCAGCTTCCACGTGACTATTGGCATGTACAGTTTGCCCTATAGAATCATAAAGCTAAAAGTAATTTTTTGATACAAATCCTCATTGTAAAAGGGTCTCAAGATTAAAATAATTCAATGTCTTAGGTAAAAGCTACTTTTTAAGTATGATCAGGAATACTGAAGTGAATACTAACATTTTTAAAGTACATCTCAATACAATCATAGAAGAAAGGAATCTTATGATTATGTGTATGCGATTTTGTCAGATAGAAGAGTCTGCCCATTTCAATTTTTTTAAGCGGTTCCTAAGCTCAGATCTTAATACCAAAACAAGCTACTAAGAATACTCATTTATAGAGTGAACAACAACTAACAATTTATTTAAGTACAATTCTGTGACTTTAGCTATATGTGTCATTTAGTTCTCCTTCATAAGTCCTTATTCAGCTATGGCTAAGCTACGTCTAATAGGAATACTATGGTTTATATCACCTTCTATTTACCAACCTTCCTCTGTTGCATATTCAATTAGTCATTGCAATAACAGGTAACTATTAGAGTAAAATGACAAATGTTGAATTATATATGCCAAAATTTATAGAATAAACAGATACCTCTTACAGATCTATAAGATCTTCAACAAAATAGGGTATTCTCAATATTTTGTTTATGTAAAATTCAGAGAAATGAGTATTTTTCTTCATTTAATGCATTTCAATATTTTTGGGGCTTTTGTTTCTAAACTAATACTATAGAAATCTATTCAGAGCTGGAATGTAGGAAGTTTCTTCTCTTTCAGTGTATTGCCTCCAAAATACCAGCTACAACTGTTAATTTCCCGGTAATTGTTTCCTCTCTAATCTCTACAATGTTTCTCTCATTGTTTCATTTTTACTCTGATGACATGATTTGAGGAAAGGTTTTTGCACATTTTTGGCCAAGTTTTTTGCACATATTGCACATTTTTCACATTTTAAAAGTTAATTAAAAGTTTCCTGACTTTTTAATGATCGCCCTTCTAACTGGTGTGAGATGGTATCTCATTGTGGTTTTGATTTGCATTTTTCTGATGGCCAGTGATGGTGAGAATTTTTTCATGTCTTTTGGCTGCATAAATGTCTTCTTTTGAGAAAAGTTAACTTGTATATCATAAGCTCTCTTTCAGATGGATTGAATGTCTGTTCCTTAGGTCACTTGATAGTACTTGTTCTATGGAGATGATAGTACTTGTTTCTGAGGTGAATAAGCTAACTTTTAGCTTATTCGCCCCAGAAAAAGTCTTAGATATTCAGAAATCACAAAAATTTAGGCTGTTTCCTTGGTTGTTGCAGTCCTTCCATTTGTTTTAATATCTCATCTATTATGTGTTGGCTAGGTAACGAATACATATTTAATCTAAAAATGGATGTAGTCTGAATGTATTTTCTAAGTTACATTTTAATTTTGGAAAACAATAAAAAATTAATGTTTTTAAATTTTGATTTCAGTTTACTTGAACAGACTTTTTGCTTATAAAAAGTAGAACTTGTTGACATTACCCTCTGATTTTCCCTTTTTATTTTTTATTTTTAGAGACAGGATCTCACTCTGTTGCTCATGCTGGAGTACAGTATCATGATCATAGCTCACTGCAGCACTGAACTCCTAGGCTTAAGTGATTCTCCTACCTCAGCCTCCTCAGTAGCTAAGACTAATGGCATGCACCACCATGTCAGCTAATTTCTTAAAAATTAATTTTTAATATCCCTATTATTAATTGTTAACATCTCTATGTTGCCCAGGTTGGTCTAGAACCCTGGCTCTAAGCAGTTCTCCCATGTTGGCCTCCCAAAGTGCTGGGATTACAGGCAGGCGCCGTAACACACAGTATGATTTTCTTTAATAATTCAACATCATCCATTGCTGAACAGAAGATGATATTTTGAAGAAAAACAGGAAAACAGATATTCGAAGAACAAAAGAGTAGCAAATACTCACTCCTATCTAGCTGTCTCTCTCCAGACTATTTATAGTCAGTATCATTTTGTTATCTCTGTCATAGTACATTTCCAAATTTTTTATCTCCACTGGCCTTGAGAAGTCAAGTTACCCTAGAACATGACAACTTTAGATCATTACAGAGTGTAATGGGAATATTAGCTCTTTTGTGTCATTTAAATAATTTAACTTAATTAACAAACTTAAATTATTCTAAGGATTCTTCAAATTATGTCAGACTTTTAAAAAGTTTTCCATGTTTAGCCTTTTGACAAATAAAATTATACACAATGTGAGTTTTATATCAGCGGCAGTGATGTCTTTAAACACACTTTAAACATATGAGTAACATTTTTTTTTTCTAGTTTGGGCATTTTACAGACCCCTTCTTTAAATCTGGCTGTCTTTGAAAACTTTTACCATTCATTAACACCTATATTGGAAAGTGGACAAAATAAATAAATGGGTGTTTGATTCTCAAACCAGTCCGTCCTGTGATTTCAGTGAAGTGTTTTGGTGGAAGAGCAGTTATACGAGATTCTTATAAAATCTATGAATTTCAGTTTACCATGATTTCCTTTTACCCCACTCTAGGTCAGGAAAAGGAAGAAATAGTTTAATGGTATGTGTAATAACATTGAAAATAAGATAATCACAAAGGAGAAAAGAAGTTATAGGAGAAGAGGAAGAAAGGAAAAAGTGTTTCTGATTCTTCCTCTCATGTAACATTTCGACATAATTAAGTCTTATTCATTGGTACTGTATTTATAAATATTTCAAACTTAATAAGTATGCTGAAACTGATATTACCAGTATAAGAATAATCAATCCAATTAAGTATAAAATTACCTTCCATAATATTTTTTCTGATCTTGAAAGGGAATCCATAATCTCATTATAGAAGGATATTACTATCCTTATATTCTTTTAAAAGTTGAAGGAAATTTCAATATAGAATAATATATCAAATCCATCTTCTTTCAACTCAGTTTCAATAGCATTTTCCTAAAAGGCCTTTTCTTCCTTTGAGATTTTCTTTTCTCTGCTTTGGATCGTGTTTTAGTCAATGCCCATTTAAAGGCAAAGGAGAGATACCTAGTAAGGCCAGCTCAAGTAAAAAGAGGTTTCTAGAAAAGACACTGGTCAACTGTGTGTAACTCAAGGAAAGCAAATTGTCCTGTGTGTCACAAGGACTGAAGATGAAAAATAGAAATGTGTTAATTACACAGCCATGCCTTTCTGCATTTTTCTTTATGGGTCAACATGAGTGCTAATCTCTGTTTCTTCATGCATGTCAGTGTTCATCTCTGTATCTTCAAGCACATCCTACATTTCAATTCCAGGGCTGTCACATCACTGAAATGTCTGAATCTCTAAATCAAAGCTTCAAAACAGAGAGGGATTATGCCACTTGAGTAACTGAGTACAACTCAATCCATGTAAGAATGAAATTCCTTATCCCTCCAATCACTGTAAACTGGCTTTTACTCCAGAGTTTCCAATCTCAAGTTGACAATTTTATAATTAATCTCAGATTTCTCTTTATTTTCTACTAAATTTTCTCACTCATAATGGTAGCACATCATGTTTATTCTGCATAGATAGATAGATAGATGATAGATAGATAGATAGATAGATAGATAGATAGATAGATAGATAGATAGATGGATAGATAGATAGACAGATAGATAGATAGAGTTTCACTCTGTCACCCTGGCTAGAGTGCAGTGGAGCGATCCCGGCTCACTGCAACCTCCGCCTCCTGGGTTCAAGCCATTCTCATGCCTCAGCTTTCTGACTACCTGGGACTACAGGTGCCTGCCACCATGCCTGACTTATTCTTGTAGTTTTATTAGTTTTATTAGAAGGGGTTTCACCATGTTGGGCAGGCTGGTCTTGAACTTCTGACCTCAGGTGATCCACCTCCCAAAATACTGGGATTATAGGCATGAGTCACCATGCCCAGCCTATAATTCTTTTCATATGTGATCTGCAAATTTTCAGTCTTATACAGGAGTTAAAGATGAAGATTCTGGTTAGGACACCTAAGTTCAAATTACGTCTCTTACTTTGGATATAGTAAATATCCTAAGTCCCATGAATTTCCGGTGCCTCAGTTCCTTTCACTGTAAAATGGGGAAAGTGATTATTCCTATCTCATAGATGGTTGTGTGGATTTAATGAACTAGTATTTATAAGGCACAAGAAACACTGTCAGTCACATTGCACCATATAAGATTCAGATAATCGTAATAATTTCCATTCTAACTACAATTGCCATAAATGTAGTCCCCCTAAACTACTGTAATCAATTCCTTATAGGTCCCTATTTTAGATCAGTTTTCCTAAATCACTGGTAGGTCATATAATTTTCACACTATGAAATTCTTACTTGTATATGAAATCCTACATGCCATCCAAACTAAACCCATGTTTGCTCCATCATTGAAAGTCTTCCTCAATCTACTCTAATTTATGTTCCCAGATTCATACTTTTATTTCATCCCTTTAAAATCACTCTGCTTCTCATGTGGGATTTCACCTACTTTCATGTCTGCAAGCCTTTGCTCAGCTGTCTATGTCCCCCAACTCTAGCCTTAAAAGCACTTCAACTCTTGTCTGTCCGTTCAAATGTTTTCAAACAAAAACTTTTGAAATCTTTTTTCCCCTCAGAATAGAAGGTGTTGAGTTACTTGGCTTATTTTTGTTTAAAGATTCATTATAAGCAAAGAACAGGAACATTTAATTCAGAATTGGTGTCTTAAGTAACTTATTTTTCTGCCATTTTATCCACTACCAGCCCTTACACTTTTATAAGCGGTTTTACCTATTAAATGAGAAAAATGCTATTTTACAAATAAAAACCAATAACAACTCTGGCTCGAAATGTTTGTGTGTACAGATAATATTTCACTGATGTTACTGTAGGGTGTTTCATAATTTTTATGAAAGTAATTCAAGAAATGTCATTCTTTTTTAAATAAATAATGAATTATACTCTGATATAATATAGGAAAATTGTCTAAAATATTTGGTTTAAAAATATCTTTTCAAAACATTGAAAAGCTGGCAGTATTTATTTATAGTGACTTCTTTCTTAATGTCAGCAGATAGTACAATTTCTGTAAGTGAGAATTTTAAAATTAATTGAAAACTCTCCTGTTAGTAAATTAAAGCATTTATAATATTTCATTATTATCATTCAGTCTGTTGAAACCCATTAAAACATTATATTCTACATAATGCTCATTTCTCTGGACTATAGTTAACTTATTTTTTCTTTTTCCCCCTTTTCCCTTCTGTCCTGCCTCTCCTGTCATCTGCACCCCTCCAGCCTACCCCAGGATTTTTCTTCTTCATTTCTGTGTTATATTTTTGGAAATTTCCCTTACCCCCTTGACACATTCTCTTAATCTCTATGCATTTTTCTTTAATCTTTCAGAGGTTTCTTGGGGCAGAGAAATGCTGTTCTTTAAGTTCAAGGATGAGCATTTTGGTCCTGCATACATCTCTGTCTGTGTACAGCAGAAAGTCCATTATGTTTGATTTTTGGTCTTCACTGAACTGTGAATAACCTTTGACTTCTTTACAAGACCAACACTTCAAACAGAAAAAGGGCTCATCTTTGTTTTTGGATATAACTGAATACTCAGCCACCTGAGGAACTTTCATCCTCACAGCAACCTTTCTTTTTCATTAAGAAAATATTATGCAACAGTACTACAAGCATCAGGAACCTCTCTCTAGGAAATAAAATAAAAAGAAGAAAATAAAAGGAGAATTAAGACCCTAGTTGTGTCACAGAGCAAAGGGCTATGTGTAGTGAGATCTTGTTTTATCTTTTATTCCACTAGTTCTTTACTGATAATTATTCCATTACAGACTAGTCTTATATGTATTTAATAATCTAAAAAATAAGGGCCAGGAGCAGTGGCTCATGCCTGTAATTCCAACAGTTTGGGAGGTTGAGGCAGGAAGATCACTTGAGTCCAGGAGTTTGAGACCAGCTTGGACAACATGGTGAAACCCTATTCCTACAAAACATACAAAAATTACCCTGGTATGATAGTGTTTTCATGTAGTCCCAGCTGTTAGGGAATTTCAGGTAGGAGGATCGCTTCAGCCCAGGAGGTCAAGGCTGCATTGAGCTGTGATCCTGCCACTGCACTGCAGCCTGGGCAACAGAATGAGACCCTGTCTCAACAAATCGTCATCATCATCATCATCTAAAAAATAGAATGATCATTTCTCTGTTGTTATAGGCCATTATATTTTTGTGCTTTTTTCTTTCATTTCTGTTGTATATGAGCAGTCATATAGATTTCTGATTTGTAGAAACTCTCACTTTGAATAATGATAACTAGAAAATAGATTCTATTAAATTTAGAAAGACAGAGTTGACAGCCAATGCTATGTAAGTACATGAGGAAGAGGACAAGAAATAGCTTTTCTTCACTACATATTTTTATTTATATTTATTTTTATTGTTTTGACTTCATTTTATGTAAAATTTTGGGGGCATGTTATAGCTGAATACTAAAGAAACTGCTCATCAAATTATTGGATCTTCCTCTCTCAAAGAAATGGACTGGAATAAATCAGTGTCCATGTTGTACAAATGGAGGGCTGCATTTTACATAAGGTTGTATGGGCCTCTTTGATAATTATATCTGTTTGATGATTCAGGGGCTACTTGTATCTCATCTGCTATTCTCCTGCTAGTTCACTTTGTTACTGGAAATTAAACCTTCTCTTTAAAAAAGTCTCAACGAAATTGAGTGTAGACAGAAGATCTGTAAATAGAAGTTGAATTTTTATGTTTGACATATATGTTGTAAAACAGAGGAATTCAGGTTTCTTAAGTCTATTTGACCGCTTGATATGATGCTCCTTAGTTCTCTATTCAAATTGTCCTTCACTTATTTTTTTTCTTTGTTTTCCTTATCTCATGCTTGTTTTTATTTTTCCTACTCAACCTAATATCACATTTGTTATGTTATAAAAGAGGGAAATGTGATTATCAATGGTATTTTAAATGCATGTTTACCCTGTGTATTTCCAGTCTGCATGAGAAAGCAGAACAAGGAGAAAAGAAAATGAAAAGGAGATAATAAATGCTTTTAAGATATTCAGAGGGGCCAGGCACGGTGGCTGACATCTGTAATCCACTTTGGGAGGCCAAGGTGGGCAGATCATGAGGTCAAGAGTTCAAGACCAGCCTGGCCAACATGGTGAAACCCCGTCTCTACTAAAAGTACAAAAATTAGCCGGGTGTGGTGGCACACGCCTGTAATCCTAGCTACTCGGGAGACTGAGGCAGGAGAATTCCTTGAACCCGGGAGGCGGAGGTTGCAGTGAGCTGAGATCACGCTACTGCACTCCAGTCTGGGCGACAGAGCAATCCTCCATCTCAAAAAAAAAAAAAAAAAAATTTTTTTTCAGAGGTTTGGTACATGAAAATGTGTGACTCCATCATAAACCTTACTCCAACTCTTTTCAACCTCCTCCACTACTTTTTACCCACATTATGTCTTTCCCAATGAATCTGGTACACCCACTGCCCTAGAAAGTGCCTTGCACTTTTCTAGTGTTTCTCATCCTTTAGTTTTTTTCCTTAATTTGAAAATCTATTACCTGAGGCTCAAGGCAAATGCTCCAGTTCCATGAAACCTTTTCTGAATACAAAGCAAATATTTACCTACTCATTATGTTCTACTGTATAATGTTTTGTAAATCGTTATTTATCTCTTATGTAATTATGCTCCATTTCCCTAACTGGATTATGAATTCTTTAAGATTTCTGGCGTTCTGTCTGGGTACAGTGCTTTGTAGCAAAGGGAAGGGCTAATTTAGCACTGTTGAGAAATCCATCTTTGGGGGTGAAATTTATGTCAAAATCACAGTTTGAGGTCTGTAGGATCAACAGAAATTTATAAAGTAAATGAGAAGATTCTAGCACTCAGTCCTCTTGTTCCTTTCTCTGAAGTGTCACATGAGAGATTAATCTAAACTCCACAGAGGAGAATAAAACAGAAACATAACATGAGTGGAAACTTGTAGTGTCCAAATGTCCTAGTCTGACAGCACAGATATATTAAATTACTTATGATCATTGTTTTGGTAAACATTTCCAAGATCAGAAATGACAAAGTTAAGTGATACTTCTTATTTCTGCTTTTAAGGTATGTCTTTAAAAAATTACTTACATTGAGAATATTTAAAAAACATAATATGCTCATTTGATTTAGAGTATTTCCCTTTGTTGAATTGATCATAAATTATAAAGCTATTTAGTGTCTAATGTACTATTTTTCATTTTCATTCTCTCTTCTTTGCCTAGGCATATTGTATAGACACACACACATACCTATAGGTCCATGTTTATACTGTTTAACATGCTACTTACTAAATATTAGGGAGCAGGACAGTTGTTCTACTCCTGACAGCTTTGATAATGTCTAAATATTTAAGAAGAGATATTTTAATACTAGATGAGAATTTTAAATGTGAGGTCATTGTATTCTTGTTATGAAACAACTAGATATTTAAATTTAGTTTAATTTTTTTCAGTAGTGGTACTTGCTATTGAGTTCTCCAATATATTTGAGCATATTCTAAGTTGAATGAGAGCAATAATTTGGTGTGTGGTGGTGGTGAGGTCTCACTTTTGTTCTTTGGTTTCAGTTTAGATATATTGGGCTTGGAAGTTTATAATATATTTAAATACAAAAAGACCATGTAGCAAATTCAATGCTATAAAGTAAAAAGAAAAGCAAAAATAAGTGATATAAAAGAAAAAGAAGCATGATCAGCATATAAATTTGTGAAGTCATAGGATTTGGCTGAAAATCATCGGGTTTCTTTCTTTCTCACATGTTTTCATGATTTGACTGCTGAACAAAGCTTCCCAAAGCGCTGCATTTTCTCAGTTTTTCCTTACATAAACATGAGAGAATAAAATGCAGTACGTCTGCATCCAGCCACTTTTTAACTCCTGTAGATCTAGTGTTTAGGTAGTAACCTACAATGATTTCACTTTACTTCAAAATATTTGTGCTGTCTCTGTATATCTTCCTAAAATATCATCACCTTGCACATATTTTGCGCTATGGTACCTGATTAAATAGTCTGTTGTATGCTGTGAATAAACTCATGATTGAATAAACTCAAGGGTAACTTCAAGTATCTGAATTGAAATTTAGGGAATTTATGTCACACTACACATAGCATATAACTTTTAAAATATATTTATTGTGACAGTTTTTATTTTTAAAATGCAAAGATTTAGAAAGAAAATTTATATGTAGTTTTATCCTATGATTAGTGGCCAAGAACAATATTAAAGCCAGACCATCTAGAGGTTCCTTTATAGAGATGTTTAGTGGCTATTGTGTAGGCTTTATAGGAGTATGTATTAAACTGCTGTCAATTTACCAGTTATTAGATGTGTTTACCTGAAAGCAACATGACCATTTTGTTTTGCTCTGGAATGCTAAATTAGTGGAGTTATGGGATAGTTTATCTCTGTTTATCAGCTACAACTCATTTTACTTCATGTCATCTCTTTACGTACTTACAGAATGTTTCACTGGTATGCATGCTGGGATTCTGAAGAGTCTTTTTTTCTTACCTTCTGTATTTCTAGTCTGTCACTAACTTGCTGTGTCACTTTGAGCAAATTATTTTTTTCCACTGAGTCCTAAATCTTTATACTCCCTTAAGATATACTTTTCTTGAACACTAAGGGCCTGAAATTACATGTCACTCTCTCTATAGAAAGGTAACTTTTTCCTTTAACCCATCGGGCCTATGCACACACTTCTTCCCAGAAATCTTCACCAATTAGGTAAGTTATTTGTAGAGCAGATGCATTATTTCTAACACGTCAATGTTGGAAAGTGTACTGCCTTTTCATTAAGAATTTACTAAACATATAGAGAATTGATGGAATAAAAATCCCCCAATCCTTGAAAGTTTATCATATAGGAGTTGGATAAATATTAATTTAGTTTATTATGAAAAGCTTAAGTTATCTAACTATAGATAAATCCAAACATAGAATTAGAGGTAAAATACCCTAAAATGATATCTATTGCCGTTTTATAATGGCAAAACAATAAGACAGGTTACTTTTATTGTAATTATTTATAAAAAAAGATATATAAATTTGAGTAAGTTCTGATCTTTAAAAAATTCTCATATCTAATTTTTTATATATGCTTGAATGCTTTGTAAGAATGAATTGTGGTTCTTTTAGAAATTGTTTTTATTCAGGGAATGTTGAATATACTAGAAAAAATAAATTCCCCTAAAAGCTAAAAGCTTAAGGCATTTGCCTTAAATTTCAGAAGTAAAAGTAAAAGATGCATTATTCAGCGTATGTTTCTTAGGACTCTCCTACGCTCAAGGCAGGGTAAAGTTTCTGTTCTGTAATGAGTATGTTATCAGGGAGGGAGGGGGAAATGATATCCTGCTACAACTCTTATCCATAGCTATTGCCATTATCTTCTTTCTCATCCAACTATCTTTACTTTTTCAATTACACTTTCTAAATATGGTATTCTTTTATATTATACAAGAAAAGAGACTATTACAAGCTTCCTGACCTTTCCTTTTTCCTCAAGAAATGCCAGCTTAATCCTACCCTGATCCTATTAAGAATCAAAAGCATTTACTAATAAACATTCAATAATATTTATTATTAAGCCATACTTCCAGGTAAGACCTTGATGTTAAGTCTTCAGATGCAGCTACTTTAACCCTTAACTGTTGTAATTTCCCTCTCCTCTGATCATACATGGACTCCTGAGACATAGCTGTTTTCCAAACTTCACTGATGCAATTTCTTCTTAATGAAGTCCCTATACTAGAAGTTTCTGACTTAAGAATTACTAGGACTGCATTATTTCCTTTCTCAGTAATGGGTAGTCTTGTTTCTCTGTTTCTTTCTAGGACTAAGACAATGTTATGTTTTTGCCTGACTCCTTTACTTGCTTTCATCTTTTCTGGTCCTGCTCAGCCTGAGGAATGGGACCCTGATACCAGTAGTCAAATCTTGATGACAACTACTAGCCTGCTTAGATTTCTGAATACATTTTTTCTATGTTTCCCATCTCAATATTTAAGGCATGTATTAGAAAAATATAACAGCTAAGGTAATTTGTTTGGGAAGTGCCAAAAAACTCAACTTAAACTGACTAACACAAATAAATGAAAAAACAAGCAAGGAATGTGTTGACTTCAAAAAAGAAAATTCAGATTCAGGTTTGACATGGAGGACCAGCGACACCACCATCTCTGGTTTCTCTAGTTTCCCGCTACTTTCCCAGGGTGTTGACTTCATCCTGAAAAACTACATGATGATCTCCATCCCACCAGCAACTCTACCCTCTTCCTATGTGGTAGTAAATGTTTTGCAGCCAAGGAGCATTCTAGCCCTCATACTTTCACAGTATATTGTCCAAGAGTAGAGAAAATCTCCTTTGGTAGGCTCTGCACAAGTCTTGAGGTTCACCTCCTCTCTGGTCTCAATCGATTTGTACCATTTAATTAAATTGTATTATTATTATTATTATTATTATTATTATTATTATTATTATTATTTGAGATGGAGTTTCACTCTGTTGCCCAGGCTGGAGTGCAGTGGTGTGATCTCACCTCACTGTAACCTCCACCTCCTGGGTTCAAACGATTCTCCTGCCTCAGCCTCCTGAGTAGCTGGGATTACAGGCACACACCACCAAGCCCTGCTAATTTTTTTGTATTTTTACTAAAGAAGGGGTTTTGCCATGTTGGCCAGGCAGGTCTCGAACTCCTGAGCTCAGGTGATCTGCCTACCGCAGCCTCCCACAGTGAGATTACAGGCATGAACCACCAGCCACCTCACCCAGCAGATTCTGATTTGTACCATTTCTATTTATTTATTTATTTATTTTTGGAGGCGGAGTCTTGCTCTGTCACCAGGCTGGAGTGCAGTGGCGCGATCTTGGCTCACTGCAACCTCCACCTCCCAGGTGCAAGCGATTCTCCTGCCTAAGCCGCCTGAGTAGCTGGGACTATAGGCGCGCACCACCATGCACCATCAGGCCTAGCTGATTTTTGTATTTTTAGTAGAGACGGGGCTTCACCATGTTGGCCAGGATGGTCTCGATCTCTTGACCTCGTGATCTGCCCGCCTCCCAAAGTACTGGGATTACAGCAGGCATGAGACGCCGCGCCCGGCCTTGATTTGTAGCTTTTTTTTTTTTTTTTTTTTTTGAGACGGAGTCTCGCTCTGTCGCCCAGGCTGGAGTGCAGTGGCGCGATCTCAGCTCACTGCAACCTCCGCCTCCCGGGCTCAAGCAATTCTTCTGCCTCAGCCTCTCAAGTAGCTGAGACTACAGGCGCCAGCCACCACACCTGGCTAATTTTTATATTTTTAGTAGAGACCGGGTTTCACTATGTTGGCCAAGATGGTCTCCATCTCTTGACCTCGTGATCCGCCCGCCTCGGCCTCCCAAGATTTGTACCATTTTTAAATGATTTTTTGTTTCCAAGACAGTAGATGCGCTGGTATTTTAAGCCAATTGAAGTTCTCTGCTGAAGCTGAGGGTAAGATTAGTTCCACATAATGGCAAGGTTTCCTTTTAAGGAAAACCAGAGGAGAGAAGATGGATAATGCTGAAGAGGGGTTGTTTAATGGGTACAAACATACAGGTAGATGGAAGGAATATATTCTTTAGGATCAACAGTGGAGCAGTGTGTATTCCTTACAGACATCTCCAGGCACCTCACATTTTATTGATTGATTGATTGATTGATTGATTGAGACAATTTCGCTCTTGTTGCCCAGGCTGGAGTGCAATGGTGAGATCTCGGCTGACTGCAACCTCTGCCTCCCTAGTTCCAGCAATTCTCCTGCCTCAGCCTCCCGAGTAGCTGGGATTACAGGCATACGCCACCAAGCCCAGCTAATTTGGTATTTTTAGTAGAGACAGGGTTTCTCCATATTGCTCAGACCGGTCTTGAACTCCCGACCTTAGCTGATCTGCCCACCTCGGCCTACCAAAGTGCTGGGATTACAGATATGAGCCACCGCACCTGGCCCGGGCGCCTCACATTCTAACACTTTGCACCAACCAACTATAGAATGTGATGAAGTCACCACTTCCCCTTGGGAACTCTAGCTTATCCGCTGAACCCAGTATCTGTTACTATCTCATTCAGCTAGAAATACTTCCTCCAAACAGGTCCTGCCATAGAGGGAAAATCTTTACCAGCTTTTTACCCTCTTTTGCCTCCTGCCTATTCTACTTTCGCTAAGCCCTTAGGATCGATAATTAATATGAAAATTCAACATTTGTGAATGAAAATATTAGTTCAATTCAAAATAACAAGGTTATCTAGTTAAAGAACATGTCCATATTCACATAGACCAAAGAAAGAATTTAAGAGAATGTGTGCTAGAATGGTGCTAGAAATGATACACTTGCCCTCAACAAGTATTTGTGATTCCAGACCCTGGCTGTTGAGGCGACACTATGGGGAATAGCACCTGAACATTTCTTATGTCAGTAGCCTCCAGCCTGTATAATACATTTTGAAAAGTTCCATGCTTGTTCTGTAACCTTAATATCTTCTATGTTACAAAAAGTGTTTGAAGGAGTGTCTGCCTTATCAACTATTAGTTGATTTTGAGTCTCAGTACTTCAACAGTGTTGCAGAAGAGCATGCTTCATTTTTGAATAGCAGCAATAATTTACACAGATATTCAAATATATACTTGAAAATATATACATACATATTTATTGGTAACAATAATTTTAGAGATAAGTAATTTTTTAATTTATCAAGCTGAGCTTCATATTGTATCAATCAAATATAAATAATGAGATGATTTCTAATGATTGTGTGTTCACAAAATATTAATTATAAGAAAATCGTATTTCACTAGAAAAATTGGAATGGTATTTGTTAATTCTTGGCAAACACACCTTTTTATAAGAATGGGCAAAGCAAACATAGAGACCATGGGTACATTTTATTTATACAGATACCCAATTAAGAAAAAAGCGTAAATAATCAAATGCAGTAGAAAATGTATTAAGATAATAAAATATTGTTGACATTTTATCAGGTTTTAAAATAAGTTAGGTGGTAACGATTTTTAAACTAACTTTAAGAAAATGCAAAAAGATACGTAGATTAAAAATAATATAGTTTTAAGCATTTAAAATATGAAAATGCAGCTAAGAGAAAACTAGTAAATAAATAAAAAATAGCCATCTTTCAATTATTTGTCAGCTATAAGGCAATAATCAAAACACATTTAAAATGAAAGTATTTGTTTACCTATTCTAAATATACATCAAAATAATTTATTGACTTTTAATACAGTTAAAGAAATTAGTCCAAAAAGGCTGTTTGATTTACAAAATATAAAACTTCCAAGTTGAGTAACTGCAAAGAGATAGTTCTTAGAAATAGACAAGCTTAAATCAATGTTCTCTTTTCCACAGAGCTTTCTTTTCAATGTTGTTAAATAAAGTATATATGTGCTATAACTCAGTTTTGTGGCTTTTTTAACACTTGTTCTGACCTTCCTTTGCCTTCAATGTCAGACAGGATGGGTAGGCACTAACAGTTTCTAGACTTTTAAATACTAACTTATACTATACTGTAATGATTTTTGACATTCATAGTCATTTCAACATTCTAGTAACTAAGCAATCTAAAGCTAGTTGGCAAAAAATATGCACAACTCTTTGATTAGTAACTATGTTTTGATGTTTACATCAAGGAGTCTAATCTGAAATATCCTTCATAATAACCTATGTAGACAAGGGCAAAGTAAGACTTCAATAGCCACCTAGACAGTTTGGATGATGGCCAGATGAGCCAGTGTTCTAAGGGCTGTCGGTGACCTTGTAGTGAATTTTGCAAAAGTGCGAATTTCTCTGTCTCAGGCAGTTGTATGATTAATGAAACACACCCACGAAGCTACAGTGCTTGGTAAACACATGTTGGCTGTAAACAATATTCGTTCTCTGAAGGATTCTGAGAGAAGTGGTGAATACAGAGCCAGATTTACAGAGCAGTATTCTGTACCTCAAATGTAAGCAGTGCTGGAGTGGATTCATGAAACTTCAATTCAGTAGTGAGAAAGTCAAGCCTTATAGCTTTCCAATCCTTTGAAGCAAGATGTAATTCTTTCACTTTTCCATAGTATTTCTTGTTTCAAACAACATTCTCTCTTAATCATATAGAAAAAAATACAAGAGATGAACACAGTAAACCAATGAATTTGTTCATGTATTCCTCTAAGAAGAGCCCACATTTCTTAGTCTGTGACAAGAATAACACCTTTGAGTGGAATACTAAACAAAGGTATGAATGGATTCTTAGCAAAATAAGAGTGTACAAAAGTCAAATTATCAGATAGCTATATAATAATTTCTGTAGTGTTTAAAATGTTCATGGGCGTAGAGAGATATGAAGGGATATTTTAGGATATCTGTGAAAAAGTAATACATTTAATATATTTTGATTTCAGTGGATTTTTTATTTAGTTCATTTTGATATTCCTCTGATAAATAGTACAGATCGTAATATGATACAGACTAGACTTTTTAAACTGCTAGTAGCTAATAGGATACTTGTGATTTGAAAAACTTTTACTGAAACATACACCAAATATATATATTGTGGCAAGTGAATATGTAAATGACTTATTAATAGAGGTCCAGTAGGTAAATGTCTGTGTCTGTAACTTTGTGTGTGTACATATATTGTTGCAGAAATTGGAACAAGTATGCTTAAAAAGGAGAGAAAGCAAATTTACGACTTTCAAAGGCAACAGTGTGTGTTTCATTTATACCAATTCTTTTTTGAACAAATACATTTTAAAATTGTATTTTAATCTTTATGGTAATCAACATAGGAGAAGGTACATATTAAGTGAAGAGAGGACAAATGAATGAATATTCATAGCACTCAGATTTCTATATTTTACTGTTTCTGATTGTTATATAAAACTGATTTATTACAAATGTAAGTAATACACACATTTTTAGACAATGATTAGTTAGGTAACTGCTCAAAGAATAATTGAAACCAATAAATATCACCATCTGTGGACATATCAGGTATTGTCCTTTAAAGATAAGTCCTTGGCCTGGTTTTATTAGATTATGTTATCAGAATATTTTTAGTGATCTATAGAATGATACCACTTTGGATGAGATTGCCAAGATCTGGAGAGAGAGGTAGGATTTCTTGTGACTTTGAAACACTGGAGGAATGATGCGTAATAAATGACATTGTATTCAAAGGGGATGAGTGTAATAGAAAATAGCTGGCTAGGCAAAAACCAGGTTGTCTGAAACCAGTTAATGTGCATAAGCAATGTGATCTTACTAAAAGCATCCTTATGCATCCTGTTTTCATAGAGTGGCGTTTGTTCAGTTAAAAACAAAGCATAATAACGAACAAAAACTTGAATGTCCTCAGAGCAGGATGGCTGCAAGTATTAGAAAACAATTCTCAGTCTGAGTCAGAACAAGTGTGCAGTTTAATTTCTATACTTCAAAACTGATGGGATGAACATGTGTAAGACTTGGAGATGGCAACTAAAATGAGTAATGGGCTGGAAACCAGGACCTCTAAAGAAGGGTTCACGGAGTTACTGTCAGTTTGAGGAAAGAAGGCAATTCAAGTACATGAAAGACTGTGGTAAAAATGACTCCCCAATGAACAAATGTGTGAAAACCAAAATATGTAAGATTAAGTAAAAATAAGACTATAAGAATTTCATGATACTATAGTTTTTAAAAGGAGGGTTTTTCCATTGTTAAATAATTATCAAATTAGAATTAGAAAGTCTCTTAACTGTATAGATACCAGTAATAGCTATATATGACAATATAGAAACTCCTTCAGTATTTGTTCTCCATCATTTCCAAAACAACAACATAAACACAAACACATCGTTTACATATTTGCTAATGCATAACCTGTCACTGATAATTGTAGGAAAGTTAACGTGCAAACCATTTAATGCATTAACACAGATCCCTTAATTACTTGCCTTAGGAAGGGCATGTAATGGGTGTCTGAAAAGACTAATGTAAACTACAGTGCCCAGACATTTCATAGTCCTGTGAATACTGAGGGCTTAGGCTGTTGTTGCACTATCTGTGGAAGAACAGTTCAGGAGTCAGTATGCTTATGAGTTGGGGAAAGATTAAGATCTTTACATACACCAAAAAGCTCGTGAAATCTGCCCCATGAGAAGCATGATACCAAGAAACAGCATGATGGTAGTAGGAGATAGACGATCCCAGGTAATAGGGGCTTTCCAAGAGAGTGTGAGGAGCCTATAAACTATAGGATCAAAACTATCTAGGTTCAAACCCAAATCTTTCAGTAACTTACATGCTTTATGCTTTAATTTCCTCATTTGTGAAATGGCAGTGATGATCATGATACCGATCTCACCGTGGTGTTGTGGGGATTAAATGAATTATTATAATTAAACCCCTTAAATCAGCGCCTGACACAGTACAAAACACTGTATAGGGTTAGTATTATTTAGAATGATTTATATAGCTTTGATGTGTTTAAATACCCTTCTTGAACCAGTGTATTTTGAAATGGTATTTCAATATCCAGACTTAAAATGACCATTTGGGAAAGGGTCCAACTTTCCGGACAAATTCAGATGAGCAAAATTCTTTGAATTGGAGATTCAAAAGAGAAAAGAGAATTTTATTGGCTATGATTATTTTCCAATTGTCGCTCTTTTTACTGCTATGTATATTTTATATCTCATTTTCATTTACATCTATTGTAAACCAAATAACAGATTTAATATTCCTGTTAGCATCACTTCTACTATTTCCTTTTCTGTGCGTGTGCATACATGTGTGATATTCTTTACATGACCTGGTGTGTGCTTCATATTGCAACTGCAATTCCCCTACAAAGAGGGAAACATGATGTGACAGGAGGCTGTGTCTAAAGACAGTCCATGAGCTGCAGGCAGAGCTGGTACCATTTGTGCTGGCCTTTTCCCAGGGGTCTACACGTCAAATATGGGCATCAGACTGGCTTTCTGGCTTTTGACTGAACTCCAGTAGACATAATATGAAAATGAATGTTAAACTTTGTTTCTGCCATTTTTGAGATATTTAATCTATACCTATTGTTATTCTTCTAAAAAAATAACTTTTTTGGCAGGTACTGCTCTTAGCACTGGGGATACAGTGAGAAATCAGACAGAGGTTTCTGCTTGTAAGAAGCTATCATTGTATAGATAAGTAAATAAGCAATTCATGAAGATAATTTCCTATCTTCAAGTACTATTACCAAAGAATAAAATAGATAAGCAGATAAAGCAATGCAGAGTAACAGGATGGAGTGTCCTATTTTAAGTGGAGTTGTAAGGAAACATCTCTTTGAATAACTGAATTAGGAACGCAAAGTGAGTTAAGCGAGGGAGCCCACCATGTAAAGACCTGGATGATGAGTGATGAACGTTACAGGCAATGTTAAGAAAATGTGCAAAAAGCTTGAGTCAGGAAAGAATGTAATGTATTAATGAAACAAAAAGGAGGCAGTATGGATAAAACAGAGTTGTTAAAGGGAAAAGCCTTTCAAGATACTATCATAGAAGTAAGTACCCTAGAGCTATTTGTATAGGAATCTTGCATTTAATTTTATTCTGAGTGTATATCATTGCAAGAATTTAAGCAGTGAAATGACATTGTTATATTTACATGTTTTTATTGATACATAAAATTTGTTCATATCTGTGGGATACATTTTGTTACATGCATGCACTGTGTAATGATCAAGTCAGGGTAGCTAAGATGGTCATCACCATGAGCATTTATCTTTTCCGTCTGCTGAGTACATTTCAAGTCCACGCTTCTAGCTATTTGAAATGTACAGTACATTGTTATTAACTATAGTCACCCTACTCTATGATCAAACATTAGAACTTATTCCTTGTTCCTTCCAAACTCTCTTCACACGCGTCCCCACCCCTGCATCCTTCCCAGGCTCTGGTAACTATTATTCTCCTCTCTACCTCCATGAGATCAACTTTTTAGCTCCCATATATGAGTGAGCACATGGGATATTTGTCTTTCTGTATCTGGCTTATTTCACTTAACATAATAACTCCTATTTCCATCAATGTTGCTGTAAATGGCATAATTTTGTTCTTTTTTTAGCTAAATAGTATTTCATTGTGTATACATACCACATTTTCCTTATCTTTTCATCTCTTGACGGACACTTAGTTTGATTTCACATCTTTGCTATTGCGTAGTGCCGCAATAAACATAGGGGTGCATGTATGCCTTTGATACATTGATTCTCTGTTTGATTTTAAGATAAATATGTAGTAGTGAGATTATTCAATCAAATAGTAGTTCTAATTTTAGTTTTTTGAGAAATATCTATATTGTTTTCTATAATGGCTTCTACTAACTTGTATTCCCACCAACAATGTATAACAATTCCCTTTTCTCTGCATCTTTGCCAGTATTAATGTCTTTTTGATAAAAGTCATTCTAAGTGGGGTAAGATGATATTTTATTTTGGTTTTGATGAGATTTTATTTTGGGTCTGATTTTCATTTCCCTGACTCTTACTGATGTTGAACATTTTTTCATATACCTGTTGGTGGTTTGCATGCCTTCTTTTGAGTAGTGTGTATTTAGATCTTTTGCGCACTTTTTAATGTTTGGGGTTTTTTTATGTTGAGTTGTTTAAGTTCTTTGTATATTCTGTGTATTAGTTTCTTGTCAGATAAAGATTTTGCAAATACTTCATTCAACAGTTTGTCTCTTTATTATGTTGATTGTTTCCTTGCTGTGCAGAAGGTTTTTGGTTTAATATAGTCCCATTTGTCTGTCTTCGTTTTGTTTCCTGTGATTTTGAATTCTTACCCATAAAATCTTGGCCTAGACCAATATTCTGGAGTGTTTCTCTTATGCTTTCTTCTAGTAGTTTTATAGTTTCAGGTCTTATGTTTATGTTTTTAAGTCATTTTAGTGGATTATTGTATTTGCTGAGGGATAAGCATCTAGTTTTATTCTTCTGTATATGGACATCCAGTTTTCCCAAAACCATTTATTATGTTTTCAAAATTATTAAGATTTTGCATGGAGAATACATTGTGGAGGCCACTTGTTTTCACACAGATCAATGAACAGAATCTATGTACTCAGTGGAGATTGTATACCTAGTCCATAGATAATTATGGGGTGAAAACGATGCTATCTGTGATGAGGTAAAAAGGGATTCAAAATTTTCTTTGGAAATAGACACCTTGATGGACTGGTTGTGAATGTTGACAAAAATATTTATTCACAAACATTTATTCACAACATCTCAGATGTCAGGGGCTGCTTTTCTCCTTGTCTTATCAAAGGGAAGTTGACAAGAAATCATATGTATGTACAAATTTGGAGCTCAGGGAGATTTTATTTCTGAGTATATAAAAACAGATGTCATCCACATACAGATTATGTTTCAAGTCATGAGAACAGATAAGATCATCTATGAAAAGAGTATGATAGAGAAGAATAAAGGGCCATAAATTCAGCTCAAGAGCCACTAACATACAGAGTTAATTTGAGGAGGAAGAGTAAGGAAATATCACTAGTGAGGAACAGCCATTGAAGCAGAATGAAAAGCAGATGTTTTCTATAGGCTAAAAAGCTGTGTTTTTGGAAGCAGGGAGCCGTCTACATAATACTGCCGAGAAGTTACTTAAAACGATGTTAAAAAAAAAAAAGGTTTATACATTGGATTTAGTAAGATACACGTCAGTAGTAATCTTCCTAAGAAAGGTTTTAAACAGAGTAGTGGGGCAAATTCCAAAAAAGGAGGAGATCAAAAAGA
Organism: Homo sapiens; assembly: GCF_000001405.40. Lineage (NCBI taxonomy): Eukaryota > Metazoa > Chordata > Mammalia > Primates > Hominidae > Homo > Homo sapiens. The sequence goes on from NC_000004.12 coordinate 92,757,967, forward strand.
ACATGGGGGTGAGATGGGGAGGAGTCAAATAGAATTCACAAGTAGTAACAATTCCTTTGGAGATGTTTTTCTGTGAAAGGAAGCAGAGAAGAAGTGCATGTGGACACTTACTAATTTCAATAAGGAGAACAGATTAAACATTTAAACATGGAGGTAGATTGGTAGATCTGGTATTGGAAAAAAGAGTCTGTTCTCTTTTGCTTGTTTGCCTTTTTTTCTTTCAAAGTGGTATATAAGTCACAATTATCAGCTGAGAATAGGAGAAGTGGTATTGGAGGTTTGAGGACCAAAATGTGATAAAATTGTCTCAAGGAATGAAAATGAATAATAATGAATTAGTGAGATGCAAAATTTATCAGTACATTTTGTTTTTCTTTCACTCAGGATTTTGTTCTATGACTATTTGGAAACCAACAAGAACCCTTTTTTTGTTACGACAACTATATTTTAAGTCTTGTTTAATATATTTTTATGTGGGTCCTCATAGTCTAGTGATTAGAAGTATGAACTTTTGAGTCAAATAGGCCTGACTACAACAGGTTAAATTCCTTAATTGTATAAGCCTCAACTTTAAGTACTCAATGGGGATAATATATTTGGGGTAAACAGCTTGAGTTTGAACCTGAACTCCGCTGCTGATTAGCTGTGAGGATTCAGGCAATTCACTTATCAGGAAAATTAGAATAAAAATACTTCTAACAATAATAATGTTAGCAGTAATTACACCACTCAGAATCTGGTGCTTGATAAATAGCATCTTCATGGCTATGGGGGTTTGTTTGTTTGTTTTACATTTTAATTAAAGTATTTCCTCTTATTTCAGTATCAGTTGAGTCCATGCAGGACAGACTTAACCTATTCTATATAGATGTAAAGATTGGTCCTATACTTAGCTAAAGTATAAAGTTTAGGAAATTATTTCAAAATTATGCATGGAGAGCAGCAAAGGTTTGGGAAAATTTTGTAACTTCTTTCTGCAAACAAATATGGAATATTTAGGCTAAATTACTCTCCTAGGAGAATCAATTTTTAAAAAGTTTAACTTTTAAAACTTAGTTCATTTGAAAAACAGTCAGTCAAGATGTCCACAAATAAAAGTAAACATTTTGATTGTCTACTCTAGGGACGGGATTCTAGAAAAACCATGGAATTTTTGGGAAAGGTCATTTGGCTATACTAGTAGAGAGAAGGTCACATCTCAAAATGTCATTCCTTCCATCTATTCATAAACAAACAGGTAGTGATCTTTTGGTAGAGATCCATAATATCTCCAATAAAGTCTGGGTTTTTAAATGTGCACCAACTTCTATTTTGACAATATCAACATAAACTTTTAAAATATAACCTATATTTCTGTCAAGTTGGCCTTGTTGCTTGGGTCCTATTTTATATTGACTCACATACTTTCTAATTTTTTTTTACTTTATCTCCCCATGTTAAAATCCCATTCATATTTAAGGCCTAATTCAAATGAAAAGGAACTTCCCCCCAATACTTTTCATTCACTGATGAGCGCTCCACTTTGTAAATATCTTGTGCTTGACTTTTACCTCTTACATGTCTCTAAATATTTGTTAACTTACAGAGTAATATCAAATATATGTTATGTGTGTATATGTGTATCATCTATGCTCTCAGCTCTTTTTTATTCTTTTCAGATGGAGTTTCGCTTTTGTTGCCCAGGCTGGAGTGCAATGGCGTGATCTTGGCTCACTGCAACCTCCACCTCCCAGGTACAAGGATTCTCCTGTCTCAGTTTCCCAAGTAGCTCGGATTACAGACATGCGCCACCATGCCGGGCTTTTTTTTCTTCTTCTTCTTCTTTTTTTTTTTTGTATTTAGTAGAGACGGGGTTTCACCATGTTAGTCAGGCTGGTCATGAACTCCTGACCTCAGGTGATCACCTGCCTCAGCCTCCCAAAGTGCTGGGACTGCAGGTGTGCACGACAGTGCTCAGCCTGCTCTCAAGCTCTTGGAGGAAGGAATTGGTCATATAAGTTTTGAACGCCTTCGATAATGGTAGTTTATACGGCACATAGCTGAGGCGGGTGGATCACGAGGTCAGGAGTTCGAGACCAGCCTGTCCAATATGGTGAAACCTCATCTCTACTAAAAACACAAAAATTAGCCAGGTGTGGTGGCATATGCCTGTCTACTCAGCTACTCAGGAGGTGAGGCAGGAGAACCACTTGAACCTGGGAGGCAGAGGCTGCAGTGACCAAGATTGGGCCACTGCACTCCAGCCTGGGTGACATAGCGAGACTCTGTCTCAAAAAAAAAAAAAAAAAAAAAAAAGAAAAGAAATATTTGAAGAAGTCAGTTAGTGTCAGAGATGCTGTGCTGTTCCACCCAGATCTCCTTTCAGTACTAAAGGATTCCTTCCTCTGGCTGCTGGGAAGATTGTAAGCAGAAGGCTCTCGATCCTTTTGGGGAAATGCTTTGGTTGAAGATACCAACACCCTTTCACTGAGCAGGTCACAGCCAGTGCTTGTGACATGGGAGTATGAAGGCACAATGCCCTCACCATACCCAGAACTACTCTCCACAGCCAATCCAGCTTCAGGGTTGCTTCAGGGTTGCCCAAGGTCTTACTGTGACTATATCACAGCCTAATCTATAGCTCTCCCAATTCCTACTCCTTCCTCTCACACACTGCCAAATTGGTGTTGACCCTGAGACAGCATGTCCTGATAAATCTCCTGCATTCACATCTCTATACAGAGTCTGTTTCCTGGGAGACCTCAATCCATGGCATTCAGGAAAAAATGCTGCAAACTAAAAAGCACATTTTTATGATATGCTATTTTTCAAGCTTTTTGAATCACATCTGCTATTGGCAATGGCATGTTGGGCTTTATTTGTTCTTTAAAAATATACAGATAGCTATGAATACACTTCATCTTGAGGCTCTAAATGATCACATTTTGTTGTGACTAATATTCATTAAAAAGACAGGTTACCACAGTAATATGATGTAATAGCCTTTAAGTACTCACCCTGCTAGTCAATTATTAACTAATATCTTTATTAGTTAAATCCATATATGGCAACTACATAAACCTCTATTTCATGTGTTTGATTTACTGCCTATTTTAACTACATTGTATCCTGGATCAATTGTTTTTTATCCAAACTTTGATCATTGCAAACCTTAGTAAGAAAAAGGTTTTCTGGGATTGACTTTCTGTCTGCTTTGCACTAGAACATATCCATGCTTAAAAAAAAAAATCACATTATTCAAATTCCTGCTTTTTTCTAGTTCTATATTATATATTACATATATTTCTCTAGTTTGTTTTAGAAGTTGTGATTAAGTCCTTTTGCATAGGTTGTTACAACAGGGAACTATTGATTAAATTAGTATAGGAAAGTAATGACCAGCTATTTGTACTCTTTCACTGTGTTACCAAATTTCAGTTCTGTGCTCTGGTTTCTTTACAGCTCTATTTAGTCAGATATAAGAAATAGTAATTGAGATTTTCAAAAGACAGGATTCATGATGATGTTAGACAATTCATATGTGGTTTAGCCCATGGCCTCATGGGTTATTTGAGGTCAAAAGTGACCAAATATTTTGTGTCTAAGTGCCACCAAAATGCAGACTTCAAAGAATCTGTCATGCTGCATATCCTGACCCTGGTTCTGTGTCAGTGGTCCTTGGGCTGTGAGGGACACTGCATGTGGGCCTGTGCTCTGATGACAACTGCAGGGCTCACAAGGAAAGGCTTATAAAATATGAATAGACAACCTCCACTCCATCCACCTGTCCCTCCCTTTCCTCTTTCTATCAATAATGCACAGCTGGTGAGGAGAGATCAAATACAACTCAAATCAGCCACTTCCTCAGCCAAGGGTTCTAAGCAAAGGTATGTCAGAAATGAAGAAAATGCCAAGTTCCTGACTTCGATTTGAAAATATAAAATATAATATTTCTATATAATATGTGTTAAGTTGTTTTTTATTTTTGTTTGTTTGTTTGTTTTGAGAGAGTCTCGCTCTGTCTCCAGGCTGGAGTGCAGTGGCACAATCTTGGCTCACTGCAACCTCCAACTCCCTGATTCAAGTGATTCTCCTGCCTCAGCCTCCTGAGGGCATGTACCACCACACCCAGCTATTTTTTGTATTTTTAGTGGAGACAGGGTCTCACCATTTTGGCCAGGATGGTCTCCATCTCCTGAACTCATGATCCACCCCCCTCAGCCTCCCAAAGTGCTGAGATTACAGGCGTGAGCCACCGCGCCCAGCCTATGCTAGGTTTTAACTGTACTTTTATGATACTGTCCAGGCTGAGATTAAGAGCAATTTCTTACTGATTAAATATATTAAAATATATTAAAATCATATAATAGTGAATGTGTATGAATGTAATGCATTTCTTCCAAGTAGACTAAGCTTTAGTGTAGAGTCAAATGAATACTCCTTTAAATGAAATAGACTCTTTTATCTGTCACTTTATCCTAATTCAATTTCCTTGCTAAAATTAAAAAAAAAAAACATTTTATTGTATCTTTTTATCTGAGAAATTCAGTTTATCAAAATTTACCTCATTAATATTTTACATAAACCTCTTAACCTAGTCAGAGTATATATTTCTATAACTCAGCTTCAGAAGGAATGAAATATGATACCATAAACCCTAGGATGTAGTGATGCCCCACTTGTTCGATTTTCCCTCAAAAAGTTGTATGCAGAGTCTGTGGTTTTTGTTCGTTGTACCCCTAATGCCTTAAGCTCAAGTCATATTTGTTGAGTGAATAAAGACTTTCCAAAGGAATAGACAGGAAGAGGATATTTAAATTGTGGTGCATTTAGATCTGCATTACTTTTTATCCTGTGATGTTGTGGCATCTTTCCCAGCCACACTGACGTAGGGGATTCTTTCCAGTCTCCAGGATGCTACTCTTCTCTGTTTTCTCCTTTTTCTGACCTATGCTTTACTCTGATGTTTTCCATGTCTTCTTCAGACACAGTTTCTTCCCCATCTAACCAGTGTTACTGAGTTTACTACATAGTTATTGAGGGGGTTGTGTTATATAAGTCTGGGGATTGGGAAGTGGTTAAGTAGCTTTTAAAAAGAGTATCAGCCGACTTTGGGAGTATACACACTGCCAAGACTTTTTTTTACCCTCTCAGCTAGGTAGGCTACAGGGAAACATCAGCTTTTACTTTTGCTATTGTAACAATCTATAATGAGCTAGAGTGAACTTAATAAAGATCTTTTATTTCTGTGTTCAACAAATATTTATAAATTAACTTCTAGGCTTTAGTCACTTTTATCCTAAGTGCTGGGTATACATTGAAAAACTATGCACAAAGCCCTTATCCTGATGGAGCTTACAACTGAATGATAGGACAAGGGAAAAATGCACATATATGTATTTTCCCATAAATATACATAATATTTATACAGTCTGTCCTCCATATCCCCAGGTTCTGCATCCCAGGATTCAACCAAATGTGGCTCAAACATATTTTTGAAAAACAATAAAAAATAATACAACAATTTAAAACAATACACATTTAAAAATATAGTTTGGCAACTATTACACAACATTAGGTATTGCAAGTAATCTAAAGATGATTTAAAGTGAACAGCCATATGTGCATAGGTTATATGCAAATACTATGATATTTTGTACCCATATAAGTGACTTGAGCACTGCTGGACAGAGTAATATGTGGAGCGTAATTTTTTGTAGGATGATCATAGAATGCACTTTATGCTTTAAATGAGTGGGGATACGAATTAAGTGACAGAGTTAGCTATAGGGTTATTTGAGGTTAATAGTATTTCAAGAGAACACAGTGAAAGAGGGAGAGAGTTAGTAGATGAGGCTAAATCACAAAGGGCCTTGAAGGGCCAGAAGACTTTGTATTTTACTCTGAGTGAGACTAGAAATCATTTAGGGGTCTAAACAAAGAACAGATATAATCTCATTTAAATTTTGAAAGCATCACTTTGGTTGCTGGGTGGAGAATGGAATATAACTGCTAAAGAAAAATTTATTTATGTTAAAAAAAACGTTAAAGGCAGGAAGTCCAGCACAGGAAGAGTAGACTCATCAGGAACCAGCCTACTTCCATCTGGTTCCCTCTTTATTCTCCACCTCATGGTCTAAGATGGTTGTCTGTGCTCTAGCGATTCCATCCATAATCTAACCTTTTCTTTGAAGACTTTCTGGAATGTATGACCGTTCAGCAGCACACCACTGGCGAGAATTCAGTTCAGTGACCTTGCATGGTTGGAGGGAGGCTGGCAAACACATTCTTTAACCTAGCCATTTGTTTGCCTGGTCAAAAAGAAAAAAAAAGTCAAAGATTTTGAAGCAGTCCTCTTACTGAACATTTAGGGAAGCATCCCAAAATAGTACAAGGAAGGAGGCATGTAAATTGAGGAACTCTATTTAAACAACTGAAGCTCAAGCCCAAGGACTTACAATTGGGTCTTTTGAGAGTGAGCATGTGGACAACCCATTGCTCAGAGTACCCAATCCTCTCCCCTGCCAGCTCACAGTTGGCTGCCCACCCTACTCACCCACACACATTGTTTTTGTAAACTTTGTAGCTTCGTGCACTTCTTCACAGGAGCCCTCTCAAATCACAGATTAAATTATCCCACTCCGTATTACCCTGTCATTAACATCTATACCCCTTTTTTATAGAACTTAACACAATTTGTAATTCATGCATGTATAATTATTTTATTAATGTTTATCTCTCTTCTAAGGCTTTAAAAGACATGAGCAGGATCCATGTCTTCTTTTCCCATCATTGCATTTTCAGTGCTAACACAATGCCTGATGCATAGCTGTTGACTGGAAATATCTATTGAGTAAATAAACATCGAGGAATTCACTTAGTATTGTATAGTAGAAAGCAAGACATGGGGTTGAATGTAAAGGTCTTAGTGCTGAACTCTAGGAGACTAGAAATTTCCTGGAAACATTAAAATAAACACATCAAATCTATTAAATATTTTTCATAATATATGTTGCTCATGTATGTATAATGACCACCATAATAACTCATTCCCTCTTTATAACACTTTTAAAAAATTCAAGAGTTTGGAAAGCTACAATTTAAATATCAAAACATGATATTATTTTTCAGGCCTAAATGATAGTTTTTATTCTATTGGGAAATATATGGAATGTCTTTTGAGGAAAAACACCTGCTCACACTTTCAATTTTATACTATTTTTTGGTATTATGTTTCTCAATAAACTTAGATAAAAATGGTATAAATCATTAATATAACATTTTTAATTCTTTAGAAATTTAAAAATCTGGATGAAGAATGTTACAGAACACATGGAACTAATTTCAGAGGAAGGTCAGAAACATAAAAGCAAATTACTTGGACAAATCTGAGAACTATTTTTCATTAAAAATCGACGTCCAAACTCATCATTATATGCATTGTTATACACATATTTTATGGGTAAGGATAATGGAAATGCATTTGGAAGCTGTCGTTGATCTCCAGGAAGGACTGTTGCTGCTATTCAATGAAGCAGAGAGTTTGTCTGGCATGTGAGACAAGCTATTTTTTTTTTTTGAGTCCTGTGGACCATGCAGATAGTTGATAGCTTCTCACAGCCAGACTGACACTTTTTAGGTAGAGGTTTACTGTAGCATACAAGAAACAGTGACCTGTGATACAGCCAAATGACTGCTAAAATGGTATGAAAAGAGATTTCAACTCCCTATGGCACTGCTAATGTACCTGAAATTTTTAAAGTGCATTTTAGTAGTTATGAAAGTATCCAGACAGAGAGCACTAAAGTCTGGTGGTGCCCTCACTTTATCCACCTCAACTCCCAGCACAGAGAGGCATCCCCTGATTGCTGGTATCACTTGTAGTGGAAACTCAAGGCATGTGCAAGATTACTTTATTCTCAATTTGCTCTTGGCCCTCTCTGTTTGACCTTTGCCTCTCTGCTGAGATTTAAAGTTAGTGGAATTCAGGAGAGAGCTTTTATTTTGATATACACTTCTGTAGAGACTGACCTAGAAATAGACTGACTTATTATATGTAAGTGATCCGATTTGCATACTGATTCTCTCTCACTGAAAGCTTGAGCCATATTTGACTAGTGAGCTCTAGGAGATAGATTTCATAGCCTACAGTCAATACAGATAATCTTCTGATTTTCAGGGGTACATTCTTCTGGCAAAGCTACTATAAGTTAAAATGACATTAGTCAAATTTTCTGCCAGAAGAAGTCACAAAAGAGGATTCTTTTTGAAGACCTGGTAGTCAGCCTCTTGTAGATAAGAAGACACTTTTAGCTGGGTGCGGTGGCTCATGCCTATAATTCCAGCACTTTGGGAGGCCGAGGTGGGAGGATCATGAGGTCAGGAGATCCAGGCCATCCTGGCTAACATGGTGAAACCCCGTCTCTACCAAAACTACAACAATTAGCCAGGCATGGTGGTGGGCGCCTGTAGTCCCAGCTACTCGGGAGGCTGAGGCAGGAGAATGGCGTGAACCCAGGAGGTGGAGCTTGCGGTGAGCCGAGATAGTGCCACTGCACTACAGCTTGGGCGACAGAGCAAGACTCCTTCTCAAAAAAAAAAAAAAAAAAAAAGGACACTTTCACTAAGGAATGGTAATGTATGAATGAATAAGTTGAATGAATGATATATTTGTAGAATATAAGACTAGACTGTCTAAAGGTCATATACATAAAAGAATAATGCATTGCTAATCATAGAAAAATACATATAATGTGATTTTGAACAAAATTGTTGCTTACTGAAGATGCAGTTTCATATTTTGCAATGCTTCTGAGAAGCTGCTGACCTTAGAGAAATAACTTTATCTCTGTATTCATAAGTATACATTTATCAGTGGGGTTAATACCTGTTTCACAGATTGATTTTAGATGTAGAATATCAGCTAGGAGTTAAATAAGGACTGGATTTGTATCTCAGCTCTGTGAATTAGTAGAAGGGAACCCAGGTGATTTACTAGGACTTTTTAAGTCTGAATGCTAATAGTCCCCAATATTCATTCCCTTTTACTCACTTTTGGTAATCATCCACCTTCCCTTGGAGCTATGCAAAGTCATATGACTAAATTTTGGTCAATGGGATATGAAAGGAAATGATGTAGCACGTTCTCAATCTCACCCTTTTAAAGCACCTCTTTACCCTCCACTGCTCTCAGATACTTCCAGTGGGCTTGAATGTAGACATAGTCATGGAAAGCTGGTTTCAGCCATACCCTTGAAAGCAATATCTGGAGGATGACAGAACCAACAGACAGAAAGTATCTGGGTCCCTGATGATTGCTCTTGTGAAACAAAGGTGCCTTGCTAACTTGCCTGTAACTTTCAGCTGCCATGTAATAGAGAAAATTCTATCTTATTGAAGCCACTGTACTTGTGTGTCTGTTATGGTAACTTGGCCTGTAACCAGAAAACCATCACTTTGAGCAAAGCACTAGACCCCAGATTTTTACTTTGATAATCCATAAACATGATGTATAATAGTAATGATACTACTTATAATGTTATTTTTAAGACAAAGCATTTCATGGGAGGCCAAGACAGGCAGATCACTTGAGGTCAGGAGTTCAAGACCAGCCTGGCTAACATGCTGAAACCCAGGCTCAACTAAAAATACAAAAACTAGCTGGGCATGGTGGTGGGTATCTGTAATTCCAGCTACTCCGGAGACTGAGGCAGGAGAATCGCTTGAACCTGGGAGGTGGAATTTGCAGTGAACCGAGACCACACCACTGCACTCCAGTCTGGGCGACAGAGACTATGTATAAAAAAGAATTTCAAGCCAGGCACAGTATGCGTGCCTTTAGTTCCAACTACTGGGAGGGTTGTGGCAGGAGAATCACTTGAGGCCAGGATTTCAAGGCTGTAGTTGGCTAAGATTGTGCCTGTGAATAGCCACTGCACTCCAATCTCACCAACATAGTGAGCCATCATCTCAAAAAAAAAAAAAAAATTTAATAGTGCCTGGTACATGATCAGCACATAAGTGTTACTTATGCTTATTTTGTATTCTTCTAATTATTATTATATCTGTTATTTGTGTACTTAAAAAATCATAAAATTAAATATTTTCATCCTCAATAAGACATATTGAGCAATACTAAAAGAAAGTTGTGATTGAAAATAAAATCTTTATCAATGTCATGAAATTATTTTCTTTTTTAACCACAAAACCCTTTCAAGAAAATTACTGAAATGAGTTTTTGACTTTGATATTGATGCAGATTTATGTTTTTCTATTGTTATATGTGTGTTCCTGTTACATATGAGTGTTTTGCATTGCAAATTTTCAAAGAACATATACTGTTTATAATTATTTTTTACCTTTGAAAAAAAATTTTTTACTTTTCAAAGTTGCCATCCAATCCGGGCTGGTACTTTGATCTGATCTGTGACCTTAATGCCACATGGTTGTTCTTAAACAGGGTTTGGAACACCTCATTTAAAAAACAAGTGTGGATGGCTTCCCCTTTACTGAAATATGTTGTGCAAGTTCCTTAACATAGCATCTGAAAGACTTTTTCAATCTAGCAGCAAATTAGTTATAGCAGTGGGCATTATCCTGGTGTATTAGTTTATTTTCCCATTGCTAATAAAGACATATCAGAGACTGGGTAATTTACAAAATAAAGAGGTTTATTGGACTTACAGTTCCACATGGCTGGGGAGGCCTCACAATCATGGCAGAAGTTGGAAAGCAAGGAGGAGCAACTCACGTCTTACAAGAATGGTGGCAGGCAAAGAGAGAGCTTGTGGAGATAAACTCCCATTTTTAAACCATCAGATCTCATGAGATTCATTCACTATCACAAGAAGAGTACAGGAAAGACCCGCCCCATAATTCAATCACCTCCCACTTCGTTCCTCCTACAACACATGGGAATTGTGGGAGTTACAATTCAAGATGAGATTTGCGTGGGGACACATACAAACCATATTATTCTGCCCTGACTGCTCCCAAATCTCATGTCCTCACATTTCAAAACCAATTATGCCTTCTGAACAGTCTCCCAAAGTCTTATTTCATCATTAACTCAGAAGTCCACAGTCAACATCTCATCTGAGACAAGGCAAGCCCCTTCTGCCTATGAGCCTGTGAAATTCAAAGCAAGTTAGTTACTTTCTAGATACAATGGGGGGTACAGACATTGGGTAAATGCAGCCATTCCAAATGGGAGAAATTGGCCAAAACAAAGGGGCTACAGGCCCTGTGCAGTCCGAAACCCAGTGGGGCAATCCTAAAGTGCCAAAATTATCTCTTTTGACTCCATGTCTCACATCCAGGTCATGCTGATGCAAAAAATGGATTCCCATGGTCTTAGGTAGCTTTGCCCCTGTAGCTTTGCAGGGCACAGCCTCCCTCTCACCTGCTTTCATGGGCCGGCGTTGAGTGTCTGTGGCTTTTCCAGGCACATGGTACAAGCTGTTGGTGGAGCTACCATTTTGGGGTCTGGAGTATGGTAGCCCTCTTCTTCCAGCTGCACTAGGTGGTGCCCCAGTGGGGACTCTGTATGGGGGCTCCAACCTCACATTTCCCTTCCTCACTGCCCTAGCAGAGGTTCTCCATGAGAGCACCATCCCTGCAGCAAACTTTTGCCTGGACATCCAGGCATTTCCATACATCCTCTGAAATCTAGGTGGAGGTTCTCAAACCTCAAGTCTTGACTTCTGTGCACCTGCAGGCTCAACACCACATGGAGGCTGCCAAGGCTTGGGGCTTGCACCCTCTAAAGCCACAGCCCAAGGTGTACCTTGGCCCCTTTTAGTCACAGCTGGAGTGACTGGGATACAGGGCACCAAGCCCCTAGACTGCACATAGCACAGGGACCCAGGGCCCAGTCCACAGAATCATTTATTTCTCTTAGGCCTTCAGGCCTGTGATGGGAAGGGCTACTGTGAAGGCCTCTGACAGGCCCTGGAGACATTTTCTCCATTGTCTTGGAGATTAACATTTGGCTTCTCATTACTTATGCAAATTTCTGCAGCTGGCTTGAATTTCTCCTCAGAAAATGAGATTTAATTTCTATTGCATTGTTAGGCTGCAAATTTTCCAAACTTTTATCCTCTGCTAATCTTATAAAACTGAATGCTTTTAACAGCACTCAAGTCACCTCTTGAATGCTTCGTTGCTTAGAAATTTCTTCCACAAGATAGCCTAAATCATCTCTCTCAAGTTCAAAGCTCCAGAAATCTCTAAGGCAGGGGCAAAATGCCACCAGTCTCTTTGCTAAAACATAAAGAGAATCACCTTTGTTCCAGTTCCCAAAAAGTTCCTCATCTCTATCTGAGACTACCTCAGCCTGGATCTTATTGTTCATATCACTATCAGCATTTTTGTCAAAGCCATTCAACAAGTCTCTAGGAAGTTCCAAACATTCCCACATTTTCCTTTCTTCTTCTGAGCCCTCCAAACTGTTCCAACCTCTGCCTGTTACCCAATTCCAAAGTTGCTTCCATACTTTTGGGTATCTTTTCAGCAGTGTCGCACTCCCAGCACAAATTTACTCTAGTCATCTGTTTTCATGTTGCTGATAAAGACATACCCGAGACTGGACAATTCATAAAATAAAGAGGTTTATTGGACTTAACAGTTCCACGTGGCTGGGGAGGCCTCACAATCATGGTGGAAGGTGAAAGGCAAGGAGGGGCAATTCATGTCTTACATGAATGGTGGCAGGCAAAGAGAGAACTTGTGCGGGGAAACTCCCATTTTTAAAACCATCAGATCTCATGAGACTCATTCACTATCACGAGAAAAGCGCGGGAAAGACCCACCACCATAATTCAATCACCTCCAACCGGGTTCCTCCCACGACACCTCGGAATTGTGGGAGTTACAACTCAAGATAAGATTTGAGTGGGGACACAGACAAACCATATCCCCTGGTCTGATTTTTCTCAATGCGTTGCACATACAATCGCCATTTTTTTCATTTTCATAAGAATCTTTGTTATCTATGACACTTATTTTAAGAAGGTGTTTCTTAGAACAGTACTTCTGACAGATGGCTCATGAGAACTGAAATATATTTATAAAAAATCATGATGTATTGTGGATTATTCTCCTTTTTTGCCAATACCTAAGGTGTGTTAAGTATTAAAGTCTCTGAGCAGTCCTTGAGAAACAAAACATAATTTGCTTTAACCCAGTATTTCCAAACATGTTACTGAAACACATTCTTTATTAATCTCAGACAACTAGTTGTTTGGATCCCATTTTGAGAAACCTTCTCCAAAATATTGCAGTCGTTAGTATCACAAGAAATGCCATTGCCCTTCTCTCATCGTCACAGACACAATTATTATACTCTCCCTTTGATCTGTGCTGCTGTATCACTTTACCACTTTATTGTGCTTGCCTTACTCTGTTTTGTACTCATATTTCTTTTTCACATGTGACTCCCTATATGGTTGTGAGTTCATTTAAAATAGTAATCTGTTTTCTTCTTTCTGTTATCCTACATTTTCTAATAGAGTATACGGTGGGGAGGTCGGAGATTATTTTCTGTATTTCATCCCTCTTTTGGTTGGAGTGTGAATGTGTAAGTTTTAAAAAATAAAGCATGTTAAGACTTAATCAAATGAGAGTTGCCTTTCAAATGGTCTAAGATGTTGTTTGTCTACATAATTCTTCCTTTGATTATAAGTTTTATGCAACTTTATTGGAATCTTCATCTAGTTTCAGAGGCTAGAATTCCCTTAATTAGTTTAAACAGAAAAATATTTTCTAAGTATTAAATCACTGGGTAGGGTTGATGAAACAGATTCCAGATTGAGCTGTCAAGAACAAGTCCCAAAATCATATCACTGAGTTAAGTAAGCTACCCAAGGGAGGTAATGCCTTTTCTGTGATGAAAAGCCATCGGCTTGAGAACCAGTTCATAGAGCCAAGATCAGGATCCATTCACTGTCAGGAATCATGTATGCTCCAAAAACCACAAGGATCAGGAAAATACGTCTACTATTGCTAGATTCAGAACTGTATTAGACTTAATTCAATCAGCCATGTCTAGCCCCTACTGGCCTCCAAAAACGATGATGGAACACTGGAAACCTAGCTAATGCTGCAGAAAAAAATAGAAAAAGTATTTTCTTCATGGCCAGGTTTTCAAATAGAAATGAAAACACTGCCTCTGCCTCACTTTAGTTTTCCAAATCATCTTTAATTGTATCTGATTGGTTGAATTTATCATCTAAAACCTTGGCACCAGTGAGTTTAGGAAATGTATCCTTCTTTCTAGCCTTTACTATGCTGAAAGGCACACAGAAGGAAAGTGAAATGGATATTGGAGCCAGACCAAAGTTTATCAGACTAACTACATATCTCAATCTTTTATTCATATGTAATGTTCTTTTTCATTTACATACCTTCTTACCTTTCTGTGTCCCTCTCTACTTGATTTCCTGTGCCCTACTCTCTTTCTTCCTGCAGTTTATGGCGTTTGAGTCAATAGTGAGACTTTTACCTTCCCACCTTAATGAATTGTATACAATAAGGGAGGAGCAGTGGCACATTCATGAAAACATATGCTCTGTGTTAATATTCTAATTTATTCATAACGAGCATATCTAATTTATTCTTCTCAATATTTCCATATTGTAGATATTATCCCATTTTAGTAATGACAAAACTGAGTCACTATGAATAATTACATATCATAGCTCATGCATCCTATAAATTTGCGACCCCATGTTCTCTTCATATTACTATGTAGTCAAAGATTGCCTGCAATTTGAAACACACTGAACTCCATTTTCCCACATTTTGCCTGGAAAATGAAGGTTGAGAATTTATAGCACACTGTGCAAAAACCCATGTTACTGTTTGTCATGGGACCTGTTGTATGGTGAATAGCACAGTTTTACTTATGCATACACATCAATTCTTACCTCACTGAAAGGTGATGCTATAGTCTCTGAACCTCAGCATCTACTTCAGCTTCCAATTGCTTTAGTCTCTGAGGCTTCATATTGCTGGATATTTTACATGCTCTGTCAAGTCATTCTAGAAAAATCACCTACTCATTAGTTCAGCACAATGGAAATTTGTATTATCTGCCATAGGATTTCTTCATATTTTTCACTTGTATTGTCTTTACTTGTTAAATATCCATTAGATATGATAAAAATCTAATTAAATGGAAAGCCTGCTAATGCAGTCTATGATATTATGAATCCATTCCTGGGTTCATAGTATACTAAACATCAATACAATGGATATAAAACTGTGGCTATTTAGCTACACTTTAATTCCCTCTGAAATGCCACTCTGGCATCAGTTGAAAGAAAAATGGAAGAAATGTGTTTTGAAGCTTTACATTCATTTTAACAGATTAGGTTCTAGTTCCCTAAAATACCAAGATTTGGAAATCATTTAACTCAGTTATGTCTTTTCACTTCATTGTATTTTACTTACAGATTCTGTGCTCATAATAGAGTAACTGTACCAGAAAAGAAGCAACAATGATAAACAGCTCTATAAACAAACATAAACTTTTAGTGAGATTTACACATTTGAAGATACTTCTTTGCTAATTAAATGTAAAATATACTATGAAAGTCTTTCTACCTTCTTTTAAAGTCCAAGATTTATATCTAATTTAATATATCACAAATATTAAAATGTATAATGTTATCAAATATTATATAAAAAATAGTTAATACCATAAATTTAACTATTCCCATACAGTTTAATGAAAAAGGTAAAATACCTTAATAATTTAATTTTTGTTTTATCTATCTATTTTAAAGAGGCCACAGTCACACTATATCCCTTAGCAATCATTTGGGAATAAAAGAAAAACAATAAAATGTAAAGTATAATTTAGAGCTTTTTAGTAATTTTGAGACATATATAATCCACAAATGCTGCTAAAGAAATTATCCTGTCATATTTGCACATTTAGTTGTACAAGCATGCATTAAAAATATATATATTTAAAAGCCCTTCTACATTCCATATGCTTTTAAGTGCAAAAGACAAATAGATTGACCAAGAAAACTACGTTTCATTACCTTTTTGAATTTATACACAAGTGATGGGGAGATATAATAAAAGTTATAAATATAACTAAATAATTTTAGTTGCATAGTGCTATAAAGAGGAAAAACAAGACCCATGAAAACATGTAAGTGATCTGGATCCAGCCCAGCCAAGGCAGAAGGTGGAAGTAAGAGTATAAGACCTCACTTTAAGCTCAGAGTGAAGGATAAGCAGGAGTTAGACAGGAAAAGTAGGGACAGGGGTGAGGCATGGGATAGGCCATGGAGGGAGAGCATTCCAAGGAAACAAAAAATCTGATGCTCCACAAAATGTCAACAACCCACGGCCATGGGAGAAGAGACTGGTAGTTCTAAATTATATGAAACCTTGTAAGATATACTGAAACTTTTGAAGAAATGCATCAGTGTAGCTTTTCTTATTCTATGATTGGGCATGCATTATTTGTAGAGAACTGGGGTATCATTGATACAGAATGCTACTGAGGTACTTTACTTATAATGTTTATTGAGAATGAAATTATCCCATACATTTAGATTAAACAGGAATGAAGGAATGAATCAAGATATTCTAATTTCTTCCAGAATTTTTCTTTCCTTTTTTTTTTTTTTTTTTTTTTTGAGACAGTGTCTCACTCTGTCACCCAGGCTGAAGTGCAGTGCAGTGGTGCAGTGGTGCAATCATGGCTCACTATTTTCTCCACCTCCCAGTCTCAAGTGATCCTCCTGCCTCAGCCTCCTAAATAGCTGGGACTACAGGCTCACACCACCATGCAAGGCTAATTTGTGTATTTTTTGTAGAAATGGGGTTTTGTCATGTTGCCCAGGCTGGTCTCAAACCTCTGGGCTCAAGCAATCCTCTCACCATGGCCTCCCACCACATGTGATCTCTTCCAAAATTTTTCTAAATACTTTAGTTTGATTTGATCTATTCTTATTTTGTTATTTGAAGTTACCAAGTAACTCATTTTTCTAATCTGTCCATTATTTAGAGGTAAGTGATAACTGATTTATGTTCATCAGAGTTTGTGTGGAGACTGGGCTTGGGAAGATCCATTTTGCCTGTAAGACTATAAAGGATTCTCTTTCTAAATCCCTCCAAGATCTTTACAATCCCACTCCATTTCACATTTTAGTAAACCCTGAGTTATCATTAGAGTTAGTGTTACCTTCATTTTCTTCTTCCAATTACTCAGAATGCATAGGATTCCTAGGGTAGCAGTTCTTAAAATTTAATGGGAAGTTTGATTCAGTACCCTGGGATAGAGTTTGAGAAATCTGTGTTATTAAAATTACCTTTCGCTCACTGTTTTGCAAGACATTCGCAGATCTGCATGTTGACTGTTGACTACTGTTTCCTTGAAAGTAAAACAGCTGACAAAAACAAAATTATCGATGACAGAAAAACCATCAAGTGCAAGTAACTTGAGTCTCAGATCAGTCATCTCTAAATAAGACAGTAAATTTTATGTATCAACCTTCCAAGAGGAAGTCTATGCCTAGAGCAGACTTGCTGATATAGCAAACTAAAAATGCAAATTTCAGAGTATGCTAAAAATTTCTATTTTTGTTCCTGTTAATTTTTCAAAGGAATTCAAGCCTTTTCTGTATACATACGGGCTCAGGATACTGCCATGCAAGTCTTATTTTTGCATCCCAACATTAGCTGGCATACAGCTTGCAGAAAAATACCTAGACTACCTGGCAAGAGTCTAATTTTCACTTTCTTGTAACTTGCATCTTTGTTACTGTTAAAGTATTGAACCAGCAAATAGGTTTAGTTTAATTGTCAGAGTAATTATTGGCCTTAACACATGGCCTCCTCTATCATAACTGTCATCCTTCACACTGTTCATTTCTTATGTCAAGGCCCAGAAAATGATTAATGCTCACAACAAAAATGAGATTCATTTTTTAAAGTTACTAATGTCATTGCACATACAGTTAATGCATACACTATGTTTAAGAAATGAGTAATTCTGCAGGTAGATTGTCATACGGAAGATAATTTTAAAAAATTGACCTCTGACACACTATAGGAAGGCCATATGATTCTGTAAAAATTAACAGATATGTTTTGATAATCTCAGATTAAAACTTTTATTCCTTTTATTTTGCCTGAGGGAAAAATAACTGGTATATGTATGAGTGTGTGTTAATCTTTCATCGCTATAAACTTTTGAAATATGTTCAGTGCCATGTTTGATATAAATATACTTTGTAAAATAAATAACTTTTGTGAAATATTGGGTGCTTTTACAAGATACCAGTATACTGATACAGGAAAATTAGTCACAGTATGACACACTCCAGGGCAAATCTTGGGTCCCATAGATATATAGTATATAGTGAGTCGTATTTGCTCACTGCTACTCAAAGAATCTTCAGTAATTATTTTCCTTTGACACAAAAATAAAATAATTAGAATGGGATATATACCCAGACACACATGACATCCACACATACAGCTACCCACACAGAAGGGTCGGTGTGAGTGTGCTCCTTGTGTAGGGGGAGGGTATGTGTGTGAGGGTGTGTGTGCTAGAAGAGGATTACATTATTGAGTTGCATAATAAAACTGTTACGGTCAATTAGATTATTTTTTGACTGTTCGTTTTTAACTTTTATAATTAAAGATCTACCAAGAAAGTAAATGTGCTGGAAGGAAACATTAGCATCTTGTGTTGAAATGTTGCCTCATTCCTCTGTAAAGATTGTTCTCTCTACTTCTATAGGAATACAATAAAATGAAGGTCTGCTATTTTCATTTTAAAGAAGATAGTTAATATATTAACTAAAAGAAGTTAATATATTAAGTGAATATTGAGTGGAACTCACTCTAGAGTATATTAATGAAGGTAGTATATCAGTATGCCCCTGATAAGAACTAAAGAAATGCTTTTTCTGATCCCTGGAGAATTTAATTATGAAAGAGAGCCAGGGAAAAAAATGATGTGAAGTGATCTGAAATATGTGAAATAATTTTATCACATAATTAAGAAAATGATTGCAATGCATGAAAGTTTGGCTCAAACAATAACTTAAAAAATTGAATAAATTTCTCAGTGTGGAAGTAAGTCCTCCGCTCATGGAAGTGCTTATGTAAAGACTAGATAATTCTTCATCCGAGATACTAGAGAAGAGATTCCCACTTTGCCTGGGAGACTGGTAAAAATTACCTTGAAATCTTTTTCAGTTTTAGAGCTCTGTGGTTCTAAGCATGTATAAGTAGGTTTCTCAGTATTGTGCTGAATTAATTTCTTTAACTTACCTGTGTAAACAGAAATTTTTTAAAAATACTATATACTATGTAATTTTTCTCCCCTTTTATGACCTTGCTGTTATAGTTCAGATAGTCATTATGTTTTGCTTTGTGTGGTAATAACAGCCCCATACCAGTCACCGTGCCTCCACGTTTTTCTCATCCAGTCCAAATCCACTTAAAAATTGTATTTCTCCATATGTTGCTAAGGGAAATAAGAAATCCTTAGCAAAGTACTCAAGGATCTGATACTACTACTTTTCTTTTTAGCCTCACCTCTTGATGCATCGCTTCTTAAACGAGATGATCTGGACTGAATTGTGTTCTCCCCAAAATTTATATTTTGAAGTGCTAACCTCAACGTGACTATATTTAGAGATAGGGCCATTAAAGAAGTAATGAAGGTTAAATAAGGTCATCGAGCCATGCCCTAATTCATTATGACCAATGTCCTTATAAGAAGAGGAAGAGATACTAGGAATGCATGTGCACAGAAAAAAAAAAAAAAAAGCCATGTGAGGACACAGTGAAAGTGGCCATCTGCAAGCTGAGGGGAAAGGCCTTGGGAGAAACCAACCCTGCCAACACCTTGACTTTGGACTTTCAGATTCCAGAACTATATGAGAAAATACATTTCTATTGTTTGAGTCACCCAGTCTGTGGTATTGGGTATTTTGTTATGGCAGCCCTAGGGGACTAATACAGGGAGTCCTACGTTTAACCCCCATGCAAATGTGTAGAGTAACTAATCAGTTTCCTTAATGGAAGAGATAACTAGGCATTTAGGGTGCCACTAGGATCACAGGTATAGAAGCCCAGGATGCTGCTGAACATCCTACAAAGCAGAGGACTGCCCTACATGCTTATTTCATCCACAGTACCTGCCCCTCTTCTCAACATGCTCATCCCACTGACCTTATGTTCCCATCTCAATGAGAACTTTTTCAACACCTCAAAGAGAAATACTTGATCCTCATTTATACCTTCTCCATTGTTTTTTTTTAAATCGACAATTGCTCTTTATGTAATGAATTTTGAATGATGTTTGCCTTTTAATTTCTTCTACTGGCCTGTAAACTTTTTGAAAGTTTTCATGAAATGTTAAACCTTACATCCCTCGTATTCTTCAGAGCAATTTGTATGATTTTGCCTAGTATATTCCTAATGCTCCTGATCTCAATTTTATTTTGCCCCATTGATAAAAATAGAGACAACTAGTACCCTCTCGTGTACATTCTGACTGATAGGTTCAGGGACCTAGAAATGCATATTTTTGACAACGGTTTTACGACATTGTGACAAGCTGGTGGGTTTAAGAAGAATTTTATTCAATCTTAATATACTAAACGGTATATATCTTTGGCATGTGTAACAGATTACTTATATAAGTAAATGTAGCATTTCACAAATTGGCAATAATAATTTTATGGCATTATGGAACTTTAGAGCTATAACATTTCAGCTAACAGGTATGAACATTGAGCGCAGAGTTAAAGTCTTACAGAACTAAGAATTATGGTCAGAAAATATTTACAGGCCATTTCCCATCTAGTGCTTATTAGTGGTATTTATGTGAAGTTATCTTCAGTATATCATGGAAATTTAATGCTGGTTCATGCCTTAAAGATAATCTATTATAACTCTTTATTATATAAAAGAGCTTAATCCTCAGAGAATTTTGGTGAATTGACAGGTTACCAAGATCCTAAGAATGACACCCTATCACCCTTATACTTGGCTCCTATTTATTCCTAAAAAATCATTTCAGTTCATTCACTGGAAATTTTCATTCTATCATATGTATGAAATGTAAGGCAATATCAAAAATTAAAATTATCACCTACCCTAAATATGCAATTGTTAGAGATGCTTGAGAAGAACTATAGTAGCATTTCTATTGAAGCAAACAAGAATTTTTTACTATAATTTTTAAGTAGTAAGTAAATGTGTGTGTGTGTGTGTGTGTGTATGTGTGTGTGTATTTTAATCTGTGTCCTTAACGGAATAAAGTCAATGTTGGGGATTAGGTTACTTTTGGATGCCCCTATCACACAATGCAAACCAAGTTTCTGGCAGAATATATTGCTTTCATTACTGTTCATTTTCATAAAATCTTTATGTAAATAATATTTTGAATGAAAATTGATGAATCTTAGATTTTCTCATTACTTTCTTTCTAAACTAGGAAGCATTCAGATGTTAATAACAGCAATTTAACTAAAAGAGCTTAAAGACAGATGAGTTTATTCTCTCGCACACCAAATAAAGCTAGAAGTGAGCATTCCTAAATTTACAAAAGCATCAGGAAGCAGGTTTCTCATATTCTGCTCTGATGTCCTTAGTTATGGCTTCCATCCTAAAGATCCAAGATGAACCTGCATGTCCAACTATGGCATCCTTGTTTTGAACAGAAAATAAGGAATGGGAGAAGGGCAAAAAGAACATGTGCAAGATATCTCCCCTTTTATAATGAGTTTTCCAATAAGCGCCACTAATAACATATAGTTATATTTCATTAGCAACTACCATCATCTGGAATAAAGTCAGGGCTTTGTTACTATGAAGAAAATACACATTGGATTGTTAGCCAACAGTTTTCTCAATGTATGCTTTGTTATTATTTTTGCTTCTCTTTAGATGTTTTCACCTTTGTTTAGGGGAATATGTTCATAAAGTCTAGTTTGGAATAATTAAGATGTTTTAATCTTTGGTAACTACAGCATGTGATACTAAAAACATTTGGCATTTGCCTCAAGAAAGTTAATAGAGAGAAATGAAAAAATATCAACTTAATTACTGAGAAAACAAAACTAATAGAGAAGGTGATACATAGCAGCATCTTTGTGCACAAATCACAACACATAATGCATAAACTTCTGTTTTCCTACAGGTAAAATCTTAGACACGCAATTTAGAAACTAATAATAGAGCAAATAGTGGATAAAGTCATCAGTGTATGACTTGTCCTATTGGTCAGATTACTTTATTTCTGGAGTTAACATTAATCATTATTTTTGTTGTTGTTGAGTTGTTTTGTTTTTAGCAACTTAATTCAGACTGTTTTAAATAAGAATGTATTTTAGTAATTAATTCAACATCCTGAAATATTACTTTCAAATGGACAGTGAATAATTTTGTCACATTTAAAGCCAGCTAAAGAAATCTTAAGATTCATTCTCAAATTATTTGTTTTCTCAAAGTTATCTTGTCTGATGTTTAGAAGTTTTAACAGTCTTCATTTTTATTACATAACTTTTGGTACTATAATGAGTATAATTTAAATATTTTAAATCATTTAAACAATAAGGAAGGGGGATGAAAGAGGAAGTGTTTCTAATGAGGCAAGGATCCTTTTATGCCTTTTGTAGCACTTAGTCCTTAAGGTTTCAATCCTTATGAAGAAAGGGTGAATAT
The DNA here is from genome assembly GCF_000001405.40 of Homo sapiens. Classification (NCBI taxonomy): domain Eukaryota; kingdom Metazoa; phylum Chordata; class Mammalia; order Primates; family Hominidae; genus Homo; species Homo sapiens. The sequence goes on from NC_000004.12 coordinate 92,780,656, forward strand.
GGACTTCCTTCAGATAAGTAACCCTGGCAAGGTTTCTGTCCATCCTCTGGCCTGGTAAGCCCTCTCTTCAAGGTAATGAGTATTCTGTGTGTATTTCTCTTCCTGCAGTTAGACTGTTCATGCATGATAATAAAAAGCTAAAGGGATTAAAACTTGCTTATATGCCTTCTGATCTTACATTATAATGTGTCCACCCATCAAACTATTTCATTAAACATTATTATTTTCCTAGGACATTGGCAAATGACTAGTATAATTACTTGTCAGGGTTTTTGATCGTTTTCTTTTGTTTTATTTTTGCTTAAACAACAGGTACAAAAAATTTTGCCATGGGTAATCCCAGCACTTTGGGAGGCCAAGGCAGGTGGACTGTGAGGTCAGGAGTTTGAGACCAGCTTAACCAAAATGGTGAAACTCGGTCTCTACTAAAAATACAAAAATTAGCCGGGCATGGTGGCACGTGCCTTTTAGTCCCAGCTACTTGGGAGGCTGAGGCAGAAGAATCGCTTGAACCTGGGAGGCAGAGGTTTCAGTGAGCTGAGATCACACCACTGCACTCCAGCCTGGGTGACAGAGCAAGACTCCCTCTCAAAAAAACAAAAACAAAAACATAACAAAACAACAACAAAAAAACAAACATTGCCATGGCTATTAAGCAAAACTTACCTAGGCTTTAATTACTATGTAATTTTTACTTTTTCAAATGTGTGGATACAAATCATTAATTGAAGTTTTCAAACTTACCTATTTGGAATCAGTAACTAAGATAAGTTTATACACTTATTTCCCATGCAATATAAACTTAATTATTTTACATTTCAAAGAGATTGAAATCTTCAAAGTGATAAAATACGCATTAATCTTTTCAACACATTATTATTAAAATGATAGAGATGGTTGGAAATTCCGTGTTATGATTTTTTAAATGCCAAATTAGTTTTCTACCTTCATAATTTTTTGCAGTATATAAGCTAACTATGTATATATGTTATACTATTTATTACTGGGATTTTGTTTTTCAAACTTCTACTTTTATCAGTAATAGAAAGGAGCTATTGAGGGATTCTAATATTCTATATATTGATCATAGTGCTGTTTACCTATATTTTTACGCGTTACAATTTCACATATGCTACAAGGTCATTAATCAAAATTAATGGAGCTGTACATTCGAGATATGTACATTTTACAGTATGTGTGTTATAGCTCAATAAAATTTTAAAATATGTATTGGACATCAATTTACAGTTTATTATAAAACAAATGATACACTGTATTGATATTGTCTGCTTATTTTTCTTTTTATGAATAGGGACTTTATTGTTTTTACTTTCGGTATCCTTAATGCTTAGTACAGTATCTGGATTTTAATGGAGGCTTCATAAGAGTTTTCTGACTGAAATAATGAAAAGTACATTGAAACAGAAAAGTCAAGTTTTTCAATACCATCAATTTACAAATGTATATACGAAAATGCATCATATTTAGATATGGCTGTTGTCCTCAAAGGGCTGACAGTAATACTGTTATTTATATAAAACAATTTTTCCTTATCAGTAAAATTTCTTCAGGAATTTGGGGTTTATTGGTACTTTGAGAGCTCTCCTAATTTGTGCTAAAATTGTATCATTAATATAATACTTTTGCTAATGCTTATTTATTATCTTAGCGTTTTCAGACTTTTATTATTGTCACCATAATTTTAAACCTACAAAGGCTTTACTTTGAAGGTCCATTTTACAAAATCAAGATGATTGAAAACACTTACCTATCCATGTGTTTCTTTATATTATATACATATGTTTTCACTTAAGCTGCCTGTAAAATTCTTATCTGAGAATTAAAAATAGGCTTAACCAAGTCCTTTATTCATGCTATGTATGTTAGCATTAGGGGAAACCCTAAAAATTTTACTCAAAGACTATACTGTTCAATCATAATTTGGAAGACTTTAATTACTAGGCTTTCAAACCTGTGATTAGAGAGCATGATCCTGAGGTAGATATGGAAATGTATTACCAGTGATGAAAAGACATGATTGCAAACTAGAGAGAAGAGTGTGCGTAATACATGATGAGTGGGAAAAGATAAAGATGAGAAAGTTGGTGTCCTGGAGGGTCGAAGGTGAGATTGCTCAGGGCTAGGGAAGTGGTTTGGAGGAGATTTAGGTCTTCATCTTCCAACAGAAGTTGGATTAGTACTAAAAGAGGTGACAGAGGGTGAGGCTACTTAAGGAAATTTTATAGGGAAACTTAACAGGAGAACAGAAAATGATACCTGTTTTCCAACCTTGTTAGAGATAAAATAACTTTTTCTAAGGTACTTTGAAAGCAAGTTTATATAAATATTTACTTTTATTACTCTTAGTATTATCAATGTGTTGGTAAAATGTCCAATTGAGTTAATACATTATTATTAAAATTATTCATATATCATGATTTTATGTATAAATAGCTTGAGATATGTTATGCTTATAAAATTATATTCATAGCTAATTCTGATCACTTAACTGAACTTTCAAATAGTTCTGAAGCAAGGGCTATGAAGACACAATTTGGAATAGCTATGTTGTGGGTTTTCAAATGCTTCTTTTATAGAATTAGGGTTGGCTTAGAAAGTATTGTTTTCACCCGCAAAAATGGCAGTTTTACATGATTCAGTATTACAGTTAGAAGTGTAGATTTGTCAAAGTATTCCAAAATGCTAGCAAATAAAATCAGAGAATGTTGTATTGTTTCCTTACTAGATATTGCCTTTTAAAACTCTGAACATAATGACGTAATAGAGGTCATTAAAATCCAATTAGTAAAAGTGTCTGAATTTTTTATGTGAATTAATTCAAATATTAAGAATATCAAATCATTGTTTTCTTTAGATGTTTTGCTCTCATTTTAAGTATTCACTTACTTAATTTTATGTCATTAGCTCTAAAACAAATACACAAAAGGCCAGAGTTGGTGGCTTATACCTCTAATTCCAGAGTTTTGGAGGCCCAGGCAGGAGGATTGCCTGAGGCCAGGAGTTCAGGACCAGCCTAGGCAACAAAGTGACACCCAGTCTTTACAAAAAACAAACAAAAAATTAGCCGAGTGCCGTACTGTGCCCTTGTAGTCCTAGCTACTATGGAGGCTGAGAAGGGAGGGTTGCTTTAGCCCAGGAATTTTGAGGTTACAGTGAGTTATGATCATGCTACTGCACTCTAGCCTGGGTGACAGAGTGAAACACTCTCTCTAATTAAAAAAAAAGTCTATAACTTCAACTTTGCTTCCTCCTATTTTAAAACTTCTTAAGACGTTTTGGTAATTGGGAAAAATTTTTATTTTTGCTTGCCACTAAATCAATGTTTTTCCTTTCATATGTTCTTAATATTAACAAACTTATCTGAATTTTACCCTTGGGAATGATTTTTATCTGGTGTGCTTTTGTTTTTATGATGATATCAAATTTATACATTAATATCACCTATAAACAAGCTGATTTTAATTATGTAGATTTGGATAAGAGCATGTTTCAAAGATACTGCTCTTTTTATCATCTTTACTTCTATATCATGTAAATATATAGTCTCAAAAAATTTAAAACATATTTCCAACCTCATATGAAATTTCAACGTGGCAAAACATTTTTTAATGCATGTCCATTTTTATTATTTTAACAAAGACTGGAGCTTTTGAAACATTCCCTTAACAAAAACTTCACTGAGAATGATTGTTAAAATTATGTCAATGACTACCTGTTCATCCACATAATTTTATAAATTATACAATTTGTGAAAGTTATAATTTAATATATTTTATCTAATATGCATTGTATTTCATCCAGTCAGGCAAGTGAAATTCATGAGTATATACTTTTACTCTTAAAGATTCTGGTAAAATTAAATATTATATAAAATTCTGAGGTTAAAAATTAAATTTTTGAAGTGATATCTGTATCATATTTATCAGAAAATATGAAATGATAAAATGTGAAATGTTTGAAATATAAGAAAGTCAATACTTTAGTGTTTGCTGACAGTCTTATAGTACTTAGAAAATAAGTTTTTATATATTTGGGCATTTTTAGGTTATGTCTATATTTCTTTTCAAGCTATCATTGATCCAAATACAGTGAAAAATAGCAAACCAGGTGCCAAATATGATCCATGTGAAAGTAATTTTCTCATGGAGAAGTATTTTTCTGTCTTCAAGCGTGGCAGTAAAGATTTTGATCCAGTGGTCTGAGCTGTGTCATCTTTTCTTTAGGTAGTTTAAAGTCATTTGCTTTGTTATGGGTATGAATTATGTGGTATTAAGTACTGCAGTAGCACTATTAAACATTATATCATAAATCCTTTTAGAATGTGGAAAAGTTAGTGTCTGAAAGGCCATTTAAAATTTTCCACTTTAATTCCAAGCTAGGGGCAGTTTTGTGTTCCTTTTTTTTTTTTTTTTTTAACAACTGACATAATCCACTAAAAATGATAAGTCTCTTAGTACCACTCATGCATTTCCAGACAAAATCCAAACATTATATAGATTGTTTTAAAATACAGATTGAGATTGTTTTAAATTTGTAGACAAACGGATGAAGCTATTTCTATAAAACTGAAGTAGCAATATTAATTACCATCAACAGCCACAATATTAAAATATTCTGCAATTCCTTGAATCTATAAGTGGCAGAAATACTTCATTATGAAGTAGTTTGTTTACATTAATTCTTCAGCTCTCTAGCTTTTAATTTTTTAAATAAATATATATTAAATATTGTTTTCTTTCATTAAAACTGCAACTTAGTTTTTTCCAAGATACGTTTTTGAGAAATGAGGAGAAAAAAAATATAAGAAATTAACTTTTTTAAGTTCTAAGTCAGTATTCTAACCAAAAATACAATTTTCTACTTTGAGTGCTATCTTTAAAAACAGGCTATATTTAAAGGCAACCCTGGAAGAATTAATCTTGATTGTTCCTGTATTTCTTTGATTAGTTAAAGAAACTAAGTCACAAAAGAGATATTCCTAGTGTTTTGTCATTTTCAGTATGTGTGTAGTTAAGCTTTTTAAATTCCTATTTTACTTTTGATATAATCCTCTTAGTGAATTTTTTCTGGGAAAACATGCTGTCAAACACACAAAGTAAAAGAAAGACAAGAAACAGTAGTTAACAAAGATTTTTGAATACTTTTGTGTATTTTAGCTTTAAAAAAAACTTTTTTTAAAACTATAAATTGTAAATTGACATTTCAATACCTGATCATGGAAGCGTTTCTTGTTTTGAAAATGACAGGGTTGGAACATATGATTTAAGTTTAACATTAGAGATGTCAGAGCTAGCAATGCATTAACACAATTTCTAAGATCTTTAGCTAAACAAAGGCACAAGTGTTCATGGAAATGAGTTAGGTACCTCTAGAATCTAAAAAGTTAAAAAGAAAACAACTGTATGTATGTCACATGAATCTGTTGTCCTGAACTTTATTCCTGTGTCTTGAATTCATGCTTTTCTTTTAACCTTGCCTAAAACTTCTTGTATTTTATCTAAGTATCTGTTGGCTTCCTGTCTCTAACATGCCTTCCCTCTGTAATCCAGTTATTAAGGAAATGTTGGACATGGACCCTAGTTTAAATATAAATAAAAATAAATTTTACAGTTCCTTTTTGGGGTTTGATAACTTTAGTCAAGAAGAATTTACTGACCAATATTTATCGTGATATCTGCTTTGAAAATGAGAGAGTTTGAATAATATTTCATTCTAATAGTTTTACATGTTTATTTTACATCACTATCTTAAGGCTTTTTTAAACTCTATATTTTAACTCTATATTCTTTTTAGCCCCTAGATATGTGCTGTCACCATTACAAGGACTCAGGGACACATAAATGATTGGGAAGAAAGAAAGAAAGAATATTCAATTCAAACACTGAGGACCCTTCCCCCTTGCAAATGGGCAAGATGCAATGATAATAGGGCATCAAAATATAAATGTGAATATAAAGGTAGATTTTAGGGTGCTGGCAATGTTAAAATACATTATTTAGGGGTTTTAATTGGCAAAACAAAAAGAAAAGCTGTCATTTGATGATGCTGTATTCATTATTACTTACTCTGAAGAGGCAGAATATTCTCATGTATTTTTAGACTTAAAACAGACCACAGTTGAACAATCCTGGTGAGGGGAGAGGGAGGAAGTTCCCATCTTTCATACCAAATTTAACCGAAAGCTCAATTAAATAGATTTTAATCAGACAGCTAATTAAAAGATTACAAATGCAGACCTTTGAAAATAAGGACAGAAGTGTCATTGAAATGAATAGCAACATGTGACAAGATGAAATACCTACAGAAGAGTTGGTGCTTCTGAGCAGCACCTTTCCTAAAAGTCAATATATGTTTGGGTGATTTCTGGTGTTTTGCTTTTACAAACACAACTGCTATTATCAATACTGCATCTGAATAACGGTTTCTCTAGAGAACATACCAAATAGTGTAGTCCATTTATTTATTTAGAATACATGTGTTGAGCCCTTACTCTGTGGATAGTGTTCTAAGTTACTTTGATAAACATAAAAGACAAAGATCCCAGACACATCAAGTATATATTCTAACTGATAGAATCAGATGACCCAAAACAAACATAAAAAGGTGTAATTACATTTTACAAGACTATAAATGTTATGGGATTTTAAAATAATAGTGAGCAGGTGTAAGGAGTCCTAGGGGTTCCAGGAATGAAAAAGAGGTGAGGAATTTTAAATGAGGAGGCTCGTGTAGGCTTCATGGAGATGGTTACATTTTAGAAAAAAGAGGAGGTAGGGAATTATCCATATAAATATTTGAAGGAAGACAAGTTCAGGAGGGGACAGCTGGTGAAAAGCCCTAAGGCAGGAGCATGACTGGTGTGTGAAAACAGCAAAGACTGCAGCAGAGTGATATGATGTGGAGGTAACCTTAAATGATGGCATCACTTAAGGTTTTATAGTTAACTGTAAGTGTTTTAGATTTTTCTCTGAGTGAAATGGGAAGCCATTACAGGATGTTGCCCAGAGAGGTACATAATTATTACATTCTAGAAGAGTCCTTCTGGCTATTTCATAGAACAAATGAAGAAAGCAAAGTTAAAAGTTAAGAAAATGATTGAGAGGTGTTACCATTATCCTGATAAGAGATGGTGCTGCCTCCTACGGTGATAGAAGACCGATGACATGTGGTTGGATTCTGACTATCTTTTGAAGTGAGTGTCATCAGGATTGTCTGACCGCTTGATATGCAGTGTGTTAGAGAGAAGAGTGAAGGATAACCTCGTGGCTTTTAGGCTGTATAAATGGAACATACATGGGGAGGGTTGCAAGGATATGTTTCCAAAGCAATGTAAGAGTTAAATATATATAATTAAACATTCCAAGAGGGTGATCTAGGCCTAATATAATTGTGGATATATAGATGGAATTTCAAACCATGAGCTTGGATAAGATTATCAAGAGTGTGAACATTGATGGAGAAGAGGGGAGAGGCGAGGACATTTCTCTGGGGTATTCTAGCATTAAGTCTGGGGAAATAGGAAGATGTAGCAAAGGAGGCTGAAAAGAAGTAACCAATGAGTTACTGGGAAAACTAAACCTCTCAGACTAAAGGTTGAGAGTCAACAATCAGAATCAGAAATGAGGAAATTATTGTTGACCTTAGCAAGAGCAGGTGTTATAGAGTAATGAAGACAAAGTCCCAACTGAAGTGGTTTTGATAGAGAATTGAAAGAAATGGGAAAGGGGAATATAGCTAACTCTTCTTTCAAGGAGCTTTGCTGCTAAAGAAAGTAAGGAGTGAAATGGTTGAATTATAAGATGCACATGTGTTCATCCTTAAAAGAGAACATGCAAGAATTTTTTATTCAAATGTTTTTCAGTGGTTCACATTCTTTTTAGAAATATGAAAGCATTCTCATGGATCCACATCCTCATCAATACTTAGTATTATTTATCTTCTAAATTCTAATCTTGGGTGTAACAATTATATAAAATTATGATCTTAATTTTTATTTTCCTGACTACAAATCAGATTGAACACTTTTTCATATGTTTATTGGACATTATTATCTATCTTAAGATATTGATTTTAAATATGTATATCTATCTTGAAATATCTATTTTGAAATGTAGCAGGTTTTTTCTCTTGAGATGTATTTTTATCTGATATTTTTAGTATTTTTTGTATGTTTTATAATAAACTTTTTGACAATTATATGTTGCAAGTAACTTTCCAGGTTATTGGATTCTCTTTGATTTATTCTTGGATGAGGAACAGAATTCTTCTTCCTATAACACATTCTTTGACCATTCTTAATTTAAAGCATATTTTAATAAATAGTCACAGTTTTTCTTTTAATTTAAAAATATTTGTATTATTTACTTAAAAGATAATTTTGTCAGATATACAATTCTGGATTTGTGGTTATTTTCTATTAGCATTTAGAAGATATTATTTCAGTGTCTTTCAGTTTCTGTTGCTTGAGAAACCTTGAGAAACCTAGTTTTAGACTAATTGTATGTCTTTTGTAAGTGATCTGTCTGTCACACCCTTTCCCTCACACTTGCTCTTCAAATCTACACTTTATCTTTGCTGTTTTGTAGCTGCACTATAATGTGGCTGAGAATTGTTGATTTTTATTCATGTTGATTTACATACATAAGGCTTTGATATCACTGTTTTCAGGACTCCATTAGTTGTGGGAATTGCTAAGTGATTATCTAGTCAAATATAACCTGACTTTTATTCTTTCCCTTTGGGATTTCAGTTGGACACACGTTAGATTATCTTACTCTGTTTGCCATGTCTTTTATCCTCTCTCACAAATTTCATTGACTTGCCTGTCTCTTATGCCTTTGACCAATCTTCCAATTAACTCTCTCCTCTTTCGGATCTATTGTACTGTTTACAGTACAATATCCATTAACATTTCTGTGTTTGTTATTTCTAAAATGTGTATTTGACTTTTAGTATGTTATCTGTTATTTATAATTTCTTGCTATATATCTTTGATACTTTAAAATTTCAATCTATTTAAACGTATTTATTTTATTTTCTGCTATGGATAAGTACAATATTTGATGTCCTTACAGTTTTAAATATTTAGTTGTTGGTATTTCTCTGCTGGTTATCACACACGTCCACTGATTTCTTTATATATTTTCAGTTTTATACTGTGTGCTCATATTTGTTAGAAGTCAATATGAGGGAATGCCAACAGTCTAATTAGGAATTGTTTTGTTCAAAGATATGTGTTTCCTTCTGCTGGAAGCCAGGGAAAGCTGCCAGTCTGAGACAATTACAGAGTTCCTGTTCAGTGCAAAAGACTCAGATGGGACTCCTCAATTTCTGGTGGGACCCAGGCATAATCTCCAGATTTTCTATGTTATTTTTAGCATCTGCACTAGAGTAACCTAGCTTTAGTACTTGCTTAATGTATGTATATATGTATGTGCGTATGCGTGTATACATATATAAGTATATATAGTTATACATATAAGTATATACACATCTAAATATGTATGTGTACATAGATACTTATTTATACAAATATATGTATATATTTTTTTACAAACCTATCTGTCTACTTAGATTTGGATTCCATCACCTCTAAATATAAGCTCTGTAACCTTAGGTCATTTTTTAAAACTTTTTCCTAACCTTTCTTTCTTTTACAAATCTCATATTTCTCAATAAATGGCAACTAACATTGTTAATATACTTATGTTCCTTCAACATTAGAAAAAAATGTGTCTTTATTTATTATCATATTTTTTGGACAAGGTCTTATTCTGTTGCCCAGTCTGGAAAGCAGTGGTGGATTCACAGCTCACTGCAGGCTGAATTTCCTGGGTTCAAGTGATTCTCTCACCTCACCTGTCCAAGTAGTTGGGACTACAGACATGCACCACCACGCCCAGCTAATTTTGTTTATTTTTTGTAGAGATAGCAGTCTCACTATATTGCCCAGGCTGGTCTCAAACTCCTAGATTCAAGCGATTCTCCCAACTCAGCCTCTCAAAATGTTGGGATAACATGCATGAGCTACTGTGCCCAGCTTTTTAAGAAAAAAAAAAAAAAAAAGTGTTTTTAAAATAACCTTTCTCCTCCTAAATCCTATGTGGCCAGTAAATGTATCTTTCATAAATATTTTAAGTTGGGAATTTGTCACTTTTTGTTGTGTTTTGTTTTCTTCTTGGAAGCATTAGAGTGAAGGGGCAAGCACCGGGGCACAGGAGCCAGACTGCTGAGTTTTAATCCCATTTCCACTACGTAAGCCTTATGTTACCTTCGGCAAGTTTATTTTAATCTCTATGCTTTTGTTTATTTGTACAACAGAAGAAATAATAGTTTCTCCTTTATGTGCTTCTTGTGAGAATGAATATTTGTTACTATATTGAAATTGCTTAGTTTAATGCTGATTCTCGGTAAATATTTACTATGATTATCAGAACAAAAAAAAATTATATCCCAAATTGCCAGAAATTGTTCCAGCTTACTAATGAAATACCAAAAATGAGAAAGAGAATGACTTTTTTTTCCTTCTTAATTAGTGGTAAGTTTATGGACTGTGGAGTCTGTCTCAAGAGGTTTAGATTCAGCCTTATTACTTCCCGCCAGTATCACATTAACAAACAACTCAAGTTGTCAAATCCTCAGATTTCCTACCTACAGAATAAGGAAAGTAGGAATACCTTCCTCTTAGGGCTGATGTGATAACTTAAAAAAATCACTAATGTAAAACATCTGAGTACACAATCTGCACATAAAAATAAATGTCAGATATAATTTTTATGATTAGTTTTACTTAAGAATTGTCATCTAAATTTCACATGCTATCAAATTATATGCTTTAAATAAAGAATTATACAGTGCTAACTTCCATGTGTGCTTTCCTAACCTGTTAGGAAGCTGTAGAAAACAGAATAATCAGTTTCAAAAAAGCATGACAGTAATATGAATGAAAATATAATAAGGAAAGTTAATATTAAACTAGTGCTATGGTGTCTGTTGTTTCATGATTATAATGAAATTGCTAAACCATCACTGAATTGTGTGAGGAGTTTCCAGGTGAGATATGCAATCAATACCCTGAGACAGCAGTAACCCTTTCTTTAGGCAGAACTTTATAAGCAGTGTTAGTTCCATGATTTTACCCAAACAAGACATCACAATACAAACTCGAATTGGAAGAACTCTCCTTGGCCAGATATCTAAATTTAACAGGAATTTAAGAGGTTCTTTAGTGTAGGGCCTCATGCAGCATGTGTTGAAAATAGTGCTGAAAACAAGAAATATGTAATATATGGATATACTTAAATAAACTCCAGGCTGTCTTGTTTCCATAACATTGGTTATTTTCTGCCAATAGTTTTGTCCTCAGTGAGCCGTGGCCATGACATGGAATCTGTCCAAGACACTTGGTGACCAAGAGCCTCTTTCTAGTAGGAGTCTGAGCTGAAAATAGCTTCCTGAATTTTTTCAGCATCATGCATTTACTGTGCAGCTTTAAGCTCTTCCCTGAACACATTATTGTTTAATTACTTACTGTCCAATATTATATTATGCCAGTTATGTAAGGACTCCAGTGGACCTCAAGCATGGTAATAAAATCACTCATAAGGTCACGTGAAGTTCAGAGTTGTTAGGGAGGTACGTTGCAGTTAGCTTTTGCCTCTTCCCACAGTAATGTTCATTAATACCTCGTGTGAGACACTGTTTTCCTTGTGTAGTTCAGAATGCTACTTTACTTCCTGACCCCTGGAAACCAGGAAATGATTTTATTAGCAGGCAAGAGAACACACACACACACACACACACACACACACACACACACACACACACACTGTCACTCTCTCTCTCCCTTTCTCTCTTAGCTTTTGTCCCCCAAAGTTGAATAACATAATTTTTGGGAAGAGGAAGAATCCTTGGCACTGAATTGTAGACCCATATGGTTCTTGGAGATATGGTCTAAAAATGTAATTGTTTGAAAACTTTAGTGAAAACAAAGTTTGTGATACTATAGATTTATAGAGCATAGAGAAATAGAAATTTTCCACATATTTGCTATGTCTCCCACTTCTGCATAATGAGGTTGAAAAAAGTTACTATATTTTAATTTTTTTGAGTGGGAGTACTAAACTAATTGAGTATTCATAATGCCAGTCTACGATCTGTAAAGTTAAAAAATATTTTTGAAATATTTAATTCCAGGACCAGCGACTCATAATATCCATTTTTTTTTTTTTTTTGTCATTTTGCACTTTCTTAAAGCTTCTGGACATAAATAACTTGTTGGTAAATCTAGTATCTTGGCTTTCCCTTTGTCCTCCTACATTACCTTCTTAGATATTCCAGAATCATAACATTTTGCGTAAAGAGAGTAATTAAGATTTTTTATATTTTAAAGAAAAGAAATTTGTTTCTGTGTTCATTTATGCACCAGTTCCATATACCAGGTCAGTGGCAGAGCTGAGCAGTAAGACAGTTTTCTCCGTTTTGAATCTTGGACGTTTTCTGCCTTTGTATCCTGTACTACACTGCTTGTCACTTTCACATCCTATGGTTGTGTCTTGTTTGATTATTTTGCCTAGAATGTTCATTTTTTTGCCTAATTTTTATGCCAAAGGAAGTCTCCCTTCCTTAAATATTCCAATGGATTTGCTCAACTGGTTAATATACTCAATAGCAAAAATAGGTACTTCAGTAACAGTTGAAGTGTTTGGGACTTTCTGAGGGTGGAGGGTCGGAACAGGGAGAAGATCAGGAAAAATAACTAATGGGTACTAGGCTTAACACCTGGGAGATGAAATAATTTGTACCACAAACCCCCATGACACAAGTTTACCTATGTAACAAATCTGCACTTTTACCCCTGAACATAAAATAAAAATTAAAAAAAAAAAGAAAATAGTTGAAGTAGGAATGAATGTCTGTAGGGCCAATCAGGCTTACTTACTTTGAATATGTTATGCATTTAATTTATTTTAGAATTATTAATGAAAATAAGCCTTCTGTTAGTAGAATATGTGTTTTGGGAGTATTTGAGCTGAAAGTTGGCTCTCTACTTTCTCTTGGGCATGCTCTACCACTTTCTCAGACCTTTCATACTTTTCAATAGTGAAAATCTGCTACATGAAAGGACAGAACACAAACAAAACCCATTAGCTCAAGTCTTCATTAAAATGTTGCAGACAAGGTAAGAACAGCTTTAAATTGAGTGTTCTTGAAGACAGCAAAGAATTTAAAGCTTTTATAAGGCAGAATGGAGCAGGTACATTGACATTCAATTGGTTACTGCACAAATTTTTAGAAGGTAGGGAATTAGTCACACATTAGAGTGTAGGGGCAGCAAGACTGGAATGCCGATTAGTGGCCATTGTTTGGAAAATTGGGATTTAGCAAGAGGAGTAAAAAGTAACATAAGAGACAACATTATTGCAAATAAGTGTAAATCTTTTCTTTATTTTATTTTTTTGAGTCAGAGTTCTTACTATCAGCCAGGCTACAATCCAGTGGCACATGTAAGCTCACTGTAGCCTCCAACTCCTGGGCTCAAGTGATCCTCCCAAACTGGTGAGATTACAGGCATGAGCCACCACAAAAACTTTACTTTAAAATGAAACATAGGCAACTCATATTGCAATTGGCCACTGGCCACTCTCTTCTGCCTGCAAATTTATAACACCCTATCACCCTGCCATATATATATGTGTGTATATACATATATACATGTATATAGTTTATACATTATCTCTTAGTTATTAAAAGAAAAATTGTATGGCAAAATACCAAAACAAGATTCTCTTCCATGTGTGACTAGCTTGCAGATTCACACAGAAGCCATGGTTTCTCACTTAAAATCATTTCATAAATTGATATGTTTATCCTCATTGATAAATAGTGAAACTAATTGACTCCAAAAACTGCCGAATATTTGCAATTGAAACATTTTATCCTCAAAGTAAACAGACGTTTGTCCTAGAAGTAACCTGGTGAGTGAAAAAAGAAAAGTAAAAAGAAGGAATAGAGATATCCAAATTCTGATATTCTAATACAGTTGACTCTTGAACAACATAAGGTCTAGGGGCACTGACACCTTGTGCAGTTGAAAATCCATGTATAAATTTTGACTACACAAAAACTTAACTATCAACCGGCTACTGTTGACCAGAAGCCTTACTGATAACACAGAGTCATTTAATAAATAATTGTTTTATATATATATATATATATATATATATATATACACACACACACACACACACATATCCTGTATACTTACAATAAAGTAACCTGGAGAAAAGAGAACATTATTAAGAAAATCATAAGGAAGAGAAAATATATTCACTATTAATTAAGTGGTAGTGAATCATTATTAAAGTCTTCATTCTCATCATCTTCACATTGAAAAGGCAGAAGAGGGGCAAGATCAGGAGGACTTTGTCTGGCTGTTTTAGGGTGGCAGAGCAGAACAGGTGGAGGAGGTGGAAGGGGAGGCAGGAGAGTGATATGATTTGTCTGCAACCCCATTCAAATCTCAACTCGAATTATATCTCCCAGAATTCCCATGTGCTGTAGGAGGGACCCAGTGGGAGGTAAATTAATCAGGTGGGCTGGTCTTTCCTGTGCTATTCTAGTGATATTGAATACGTCTCAAGAGATCTGATGGGTTTATCAGGGGTTTCTGCTTTTGCTTCTTCCTCATTTTCTGTTGCCACCACCATGTAAGAAGTGCCTTTCACCTCCAGCCATGATTCTGAGGCCTCCCCAGCCATGTGAAACTGTAAATCCAATTAAACCTCCTTTTCTTCCCAGTCTCACGTATGTCTTTATCAGTAGCCTGAAAATGGACTAATGGAGAGAGGCAGGCACATTCAGTGTAACTTTACAGAAATATATCATAATTTTTGCCTGACTTGTTTTGCTTTTTCACTTCTCTAAAAATGTGTCTATACCATACCAATCCTTCTTACACCATGTGCTTTACTTTCAGTGTCCTATTCCTAGAAGTATCCATGTCACAAAATAAGTCAAAAATAGTCTTGAATAATTGGAACCTTCTGTCAGATTGTCTATTGTTAATTTGATTTCTGGCACTGCTTCTTCTGCATCTTTTTCCTCATTGTCTGGAACGGGTTCAAAAGCACTCATCTCCATCAAGTTGTTTTCTGTTAATTTATCTGATGTGGTGTCTATTAGCTCTTCAATTCCTCCAAGATCCCTATGTTGAAACCCTTCACCTCCCTCCTTTTTTATTTATATATTTTTGCCACATCCACAGTTTCTTTCATGATTTCCTTGATTGGTTCTGTTGTAAATCCTGTGAAGTTATGCACAACATCTGGACAGTTTCTTTAGTAGGAATTTACTGTTTTAGACTGGATGGAATTATGGATTTTTTTATAATGATATCATCCTTAATACTGTAATCATTCCCGACTTCCATGATGTTCTCTCTATTAGGATTCTCTTCCATAGCACTGACAATATTTTCCGTAGAATACTGCATGCAATGAGTCTTAAAGGTCTTTATGACCCTTGATCTAGAGGCTGAACTAGAGATACTGTGTCTGGGGGCAAGTAGACCACTTCAACACCTTAAGTATTGAAATCTTGGGGTTCTGGGTGGCCTGGGACATTGTCCAATATCAAAAGAACTTTATAAGGCAGTCCCTTACTAGAAAGGTACTTCCTGATTCAGGGACAATCAATGGAACCAGTATAGAAAAAGAATTGTCATTGTCCCAGCCTTCTTGTACAACCGAAAGACTGACAGCTCGTGTTCATCTTTGCCTTCAAGGCTTGGGGATTAGTAGCTTTATAGGTAGGGCAATCCTGATCATAAACCCAACTTTATTTGTACATAACAGTAGAGTTAGCCTATTACTGGAGCTTGCTTCTCTTCCTTACTAATAAATGTTCTTTTTCAGAATATATATATATTTTTCAGAGTAGGGCACTTTTGTCTGCATTAAAAATATGTTCAGGCAGATATCTTTTCTTCTTACTGATTTTCCTAATGGCATCTGGGAACTTGTTTGCTGCCTCTTGGTTGGCAGATGCTGCTTCTCCTGATATCATTCTGTACATCAAACCTTTATAAAATTATCAAACCATCCTTTGCTGGGATTAAATTCTAGAACTTTAGACTTTTCCCCTTCCTCGTCAGATAATGACTTCACTTGTTCTCAAATCATGTTAGAGTCTATAGGTAGGCTCTTTTCTAGCAATTCTGCACCCATGTAAAAGCTATATTTTTCATACAAGATAAAAAGATATTTTTCAAAAAGTGGAAGGTATTTTGCACTTGCTTGCACAGTTACAGGGACAGCTTCATTAATTTTCATTTCTTTTTTTACATTGATCCTTAATGATAGATTCATTTATCTTGATATGGAAGACAACCACAGCTCCAGGCCTCCGTTTATAGTGGATATCAAGTAGTTCAACTTTTTCTTGTAATATCTTGACTTTTATCTGCTTCTTGGGAACACTTCTAGCATCACTAGTGGCACTTCATATGGGTCCCCTTGTTTTATCCAAGGTTTATGGTATTGCATTCAACATAATAAACAACATGCAAGAACCATGAGGGATCACTTTTACTATCATGCATATTTTACTAGAGAGATGAACTGTTCATGTAGAAACAATGATCATCACATGGCATTTTAAGCACATGCTCATAAGACTTGAGCTCATTGCAATAGCAATGGGAGTTGCCTATGAAATTGTGATACTAGCACATTATGCAGTATAGTGAAGATTATACATTGTGGTTTAATACTAGATCTTTACATTTGTTTACATTTCTTTGGACTGCAAATAGCACCATGTGCTAAATGTATGCACATGTTTTGCATATATTTTTAAGTTAACGTAAAAGTTTTAACTCTTTCAATAGATTTGCATACACTTTTAAGTTAAAAATTTTAACTTTTTCAATATATTTTTGTATATTTTATGATAGTGAATGATGAAAAAAAGTATCTTTATATTTTATGCATTTATGACATATCTAACTTTTTCTTTTTTTGCTATTTCTATGCTACATGGTTCATCTGCAAATTTTTTTCAAATTGTCACAAATCTACAAAATATTTTTCAATGTATTTATTGAAAAAACTCTGTGCACAGACTGGACCTATGCAATTGAAACCCATGTTGTTCAAGGGCCAACTATACCCAAATGTACAAATGCAAAACTACACTAATCACCTACACTTACATTCTAAAGTAACAATCAAATGTAATACAGCAATTTAGGTTGAAAGTACAATACTTGATAAAGTTTTTACTGCCTTAAAAATTGTTATTTTAATGGAGCAGTCAGCCTGCTTCCTTGAATTTACTTTTTTAAGGTCCTGAATCAAACAAAGATAACATAGTTTGAAAATTTTTTAAATGTTTCTTTAAAAAAGGGGGGGTTAAGTATCATTGTTTTTAATATTTTCATTCAGTAAAACTTATTTGAAATGCTATTTTCTATATTTTAAGAAGCGGATATTTCAACCCACCTATTTTGATTTCAGACACGTTAACATGTATATGTGAAAATAAGTCATATTTTGTAAGACCTTGCCTAATATCTAATAACTGTATTTTAATTTTATGCAGCATTCAGCAACAATTGTACCTGATGAGCTATTAAAAGTGTGTAAATCAAATAAGCTTATATCAAGAATACTAAAAAAAGTGACAAGGCAAACATGTCAACATAGCTAAATATGGCTCTAGGATTGAATGCTGTTGGTGTTAGTCAGTCAGGATTTCCCCTTGTGATGTCTTTCTGGTATTACCATTATTGAATGTTTACAAATTAAAGGGACCACTGCTAAAAATATGGGATTGAGTTGCATATGCATGCCCCTTAAGAGACCCTTAGAGATGATTTACAAGAATGACAGAATCTAACTTTGGACATTTGGTTAGTTTTCACACCTCCTTCCCTCTTAAAACTTGCATTCATTAGGAGTAACTCTCTGAAGAATCTCTGTCTTAATAAATTCAGATCCATCAACTACTTTATGCAGTGTTGCAGTACTCACTGTTTATTTGTTAATAAGTACCTGAAATTACTTTCCCACTCAATAGATACAGGACTGCAAAGTAGATGTTCTCCTCTTTTGTACTTTTTTTATAATTAGGGTACAGAGTTACCAAGTCAGCAAGGAAGGGGCACTTTGTATGCTACTTGCATGGCTACGAATTAACTGAAATAGCAGTTAAAATGTTCATTTTAAAAATTATGTAAGTGTATTGGGTTCCTAAGGCTACTATAACAAATGCACACTGGATAGCTTAAACCAATGGTCCCCAGCCTTTTTGACACCAGGGATACGATTGGTGGAAGACAATTTTTCCATGGGGGCTGGGTAGATGGTTTCAGTGTGATTCAAGTGCATTACATTTATTGTGCACTTTATTTCCATTATTATTACATACTCACCATAATGTAGAATCACTGGGAGCCCAGAGCTTGTTTTCCTGAAACCAGACAGTCCCAGATGGGCTGTGATGGGAGACAGTGACAGATCACCCGGCATTAGATTCTCAGATTCTCATAATGAAGGCGCAACCTAGATCCTTCTCATGCACAGTTTGCAATAAGGTCGGTGCTCCTGTGATAACCTAATGCTGCTGCTGATCTGATGGGAAGTGGAGCCCAGGCGATAATACTGGCCACTCACCTCCTGCTGTGGGGCCCTGTTCCTAACAGGCCACAGACTAATACCAGTCCATGACCCTGGGGACCCCTGGCTTAAACAATAGAAATTTATTTCTCGCTGTTTTAGTGGCTGGAAGTCCAAGATCAAGATGTCAGCACTTTGGGATTCTTCTGAGGCCTTTCTTTTTGGCTTGCAGGTAGCCTCCTTGTCACTGTGTCCTCACATCATCTTTTTTCTTCGTGTGCACATCCCTAGCATCTCTTTTTTATACATTTCCTCTTCTTAGAAGAACACCAATCAGATTGTTTTGGGGCCTACCCTAACAGCTGTCATCCATTTAAACTTAATCACCTCTTTAAAGGGGTTACAAATACAAATACAAAACAGATACAGCATAAAGTCACATTCTAAAGTACTGGAGGTTAGGGCTTCCACATGTGCATTTTAGGGGTTCACAATCCTGCCCATAACAGTAAGTATCGTTTTCTCAAGGAAAATTATTTTTGATAGACTAGGTCAAGTTATTCTCTACTCAGCATAATTATAATTAAACAATTTTAAGCTTAGCTTTTTAATGCCTAGGGATGCTTAAACAATCATATTCACTCTGTTCCTATTTCCTTTCATATGCTTGCTCATAGTAAGGACTCAGTAAATATTTGTTGAATGAGTAAATTACAATTCCTATAATTAATATAATTCTCATTTGCACTACGTCAGTTCTTTTTCATATGCTATATTATTTGCTCTTCAAACAAGACTCTGATTAGGTAATCTCATTACCCCTTTTTATATATTAATAAAGAAAAATAATCAGCAATTTATTTAACGTGAGTCAGTTAAGGATATCAGTGGAATACTATATTTTTTCTAAAACAGGACTTCACCCTTCTGAAGTTAGACTAACTGGGAAGATGGCATAGCAAAGGAAATGTCAGTAACAAAGACAACAACAAAAATCACATAAAACAGATTAACAAAAGAGAAAGGAAGGAAGGAAAGAAAAAAAAGAAATAAACTCAGCAAAGCAACTCGAAGAGGTAGCCTTGGGATAAGAAATAAAAATATTGAACTAAGAATTAGTTAAGAAGGAATCAAGGTTGTAGATTGACACAACATGCTAACATAATAGAGTAAGCAAATAGGAAATAAAATAGCACATATATCAATATGGAAGGCATATCAATTGAAGGAGAGGTAACCACAGTCACATATACATGGTTCAGAATAACAAAATAATGTGTTTACATTACTGCTGTTTACAGCCAGTTGGAACTGGCATCATATTCACTTTTGATACTTGTGGGCATTCAGAAACAAAGTGTAAAGCATAATAGGACGATCTTCAACTTCAGTATGGTACAGGGGAGAAAAAAAATTCTAGAGAGTCATGAAGCCCGATCATCTGATTCTGGTATTTTAGGCTGTCAGGACTCAAGACATTATGCCTAGGCCACTCTTGGACAGATTTAGACCCAAAAATGTTTTCCATATAATAAGATGACAGTTGAAAGTCCCAGGCTAAAATCTTAAAACACAGAACAGTGATTTCAATCTGAATACTGGTCCCACTTTTTATTAACCCCTGTCTTGCTCAGTTACTTAAGCTCTCTTAAGCCTCCGTTTTTTCATCCGGAAACATAATGATAAACACGGTGATTACATTAAAGGATTGTTGAGTTAGTTGAAATATGCAATGCATATATAATGTGTCACATAGCACCTGGCTCATTGAGTATTGTTGCAATGCAATGATAAAAACATTAAGCACTTTTCTTAGAATACATTATTACATGAAATGTGTCTTTAAGAAATTCTTTTAGTTCTCTGAGAAGAGCCCCTGAGAAAGGCAGACAACACACTACGGGCTCTTCCAGCTGTTAGAAGTTCCTCCCAAGGAATCATCTCTTTGCCAATCATTTATCTTGTGGATAACTTCTGTGTAGTGTGTCTTGTCTTAAAAGTTTAACATATGTTCACAATATTATGCTAAGTTTATGGCATATTAATCATATGGATGAAATTTTGTTATTTTTTATGCAAGTAATTTATTTCTACAAAAACCTCTGAGCAAAAACCCTTTACGCTTCTCTCTTCAATTCTTAAAATTCCACCCCCATTAAGGTAAACATTGTAAACACTGCAGAGTGTACCTTTTCTTGCTTTAATAGTTGCATATAAGTATTCAAAACCTGTATTATAGCATATAGATTTCTTTGTTTTATTTAATAATACATATTATTCTGTTCTTCAAATTGATTACTTCACTTAAGCTACATAACTTGGTCATCTTTACATGCGAATACTTATTTATAAAATATTTTTGTAATATAAGCATATATATAAGCAAAAGTAATATAAGCATATGGTAAATTTAGTGTAATAATACATATAGGCTAACACAAACAGTGCAATGCTTAAATAGATGCCAAGTACTTTTCTGGTGCCTTACATTTATTAACTCATAATACTCATAACAAACCCAAAAGTTGGACTTTTTCTTATCCTTATTTTATAGATAAAGAAACTGAGGAGAAAGGAAGTTAAATCGCTATTCCTCTGTCACACAGGTAGTATGTAGCATAGCCAAGATTCATACCTGGGCAATCCATCTCTGGTGGCCATGACCACACAGGTATACAATGAAATACCACATTGTTTTTTTTAAAAAAAACTTCATAATATACTATCGGATGATTTTTAAATTTTATTAATTCTTATGCTGTTAATTATGCCAATGTTTTCATTATAATTTTGGTTTTACTTGTCTATCCTAAGTTGTACTTTTTAAAATACATATACAATATTTTTTAGAGAAGTTTTAGGCTCATAGCAACATTGACTAGAAGGCACAGAGATTTTCCATAAAGCCCCCGTCCCTACATACACTCACAGCCTTCTCCATTATCAACATCATACACAAGAATGGTGCATTTGTTAAAATTGATGTACTTACATTGACACATTATTATCACACAATTCCATAGTTTACATTAGGGTTCACTCATGGTTTTATACATTCTAGTGGCTTTCACAAAGGTATATAATGACATATATCCACCATTATAGTGTTATACGAAATTGTTTCACTGCCCTAAAAATTCTCTGTGCTTTGTGTATTTATCACTGCCTCCACCCAGCCCTTTGCTAGTTGTACTTTTTGCATTAAAATCTACTCTATCTAGTATATATCATAATCATTGTTGCTGCAAGAGAATCCAATGATGTTGTTTTCACACAGCCATTGAACCAATTCCAGTTATTATACAAGTAATTCTGTTTCTACTGCGTTACAAAGCTAAAGTTTGCTTTTCATACAATAAGGTGCCAGTATATATTTGGATCTATTTGTGGGCTCCCTATTGTGTTTCCCAGCTCTCTATTATTTTATTCTTCTGAGCATGTCATACTGTTTGGTTATAGCAGCTTTATAGTAAGTTTTCAAATCAAGTAGGAAGATGCCTCCACGATATGTTGCTGATTGTGTTATTACCAGGCCTCTTCATTCCAATGGGAGGAGGTTAGGGATAGAGCCTTAGAATAAGTCTGAACCACTAGGAATGGTATCACTGCTGCATTTTTCTATTTTATTAATATGTAGAACCATATGTGAATCCCAAAGAAAGTTCATATGAGAAAACCCAAGATTGCCCTCACAGATCTAAGAGATAGGATAGAACTATTTATTGCTGGCTTCCTGTTTTGAAGACAATATTTGTTGTCTAGGTAATATCAGGATATTTTTTGGAGACTTTGTTTTTCTCTCTCGAGGGATGTTCACAATCTTTTGGTGCTAATTTCCTCTTAATATAGTGCTATTTTTTTCCATACAAAATTTGAAGTAGAAGAAAAAAAATAAAGAATTGGTAGCCATTAACCAAAGCTGGCATTCTATTTCCATTTTCACAGTGAGACTACCATTTTAAGGAATTCAATATCCCTTTGTGATCACAAAAGTAAGGTGTAATTCAGGAGTTTTCCTGGAGTCCCCATTAGATATTATACAATGCATATTTTGTTTCAATATCATGGAGTTTTAACACAAATGTAAATAGAAGTTTAATTATTTATATAGATTCAATGTTAAATATAACAAAGACGGGAAAGAAAATATATTATTTTGATGTCATTTTTGTTTTAACTTTTCCTAACTGTGGATACTCTTCCTAATAATAGGTAGCCCATATGTCATTATAAAAAAATGTATTTCTAGAAATTCAGGTACCCCATCAACCAATCTTTGTATCTCCTCATATAATAACTTTTTCTGTGTGTTTATAGAATTTTAAGTTCAGTGAAAAGATTTTCAGAGCATTTTATTTTTGCTTCTATCTGGAGCCCACTCACATGTGTTTATCTTCTTGTTTTTAAGGGGGACCCCAGGCATGAAAGTAATTGCTTTTATTGCATTGAATGCTAAAAGGTATACAGCCATACATTCTTTTTGTATTTGTTTCTTAGAGCTGCTGTAACAGAGTTCCACAAACTGGGTGGCTTCAAATGACAATGAGACTTTATTCTCTCTCAGTTCTGGAGGCAAGAAGTCTGAAATCAGGATGTCAGTAGAGTCATGCTCTCTCCAAAGGCTCTAGGGATGGATTCTTCTGTGCCATCTACCTTCTGGTAGCCCCTAGCATTTCTTGGCTTGTGGCAGCATCACTTCAGTCTGGGCTTCACAGAGGCAGAGATTGGAGTGATGCTGCCACAAGCCAGACTTCCTTCTGTGTCTGTGTCATTACATCGTATTCTTTTTGTGTGTATCTGCATCCAAATTTCATTCTTCATATAAGGACACCAGTAACAACAGATTAAGGCCCACCCTAACGACTTTACCTTAACTTGATGTCTTCCAAGATCTTCTTTGCAAATAAGGTCATATCATTTTTTAGTAGACAAATAATCTTACTATGTTATTAAAGTAATTAAATCATATGGAAAAATATTCTATTTAATTATTGTATTTTACAAAACATTTCAAAGGATGGATATAATTCAGAGATAACCATTAATATTTTTTGCATAGGCACAAAATAGTTCTAGTTTTAAGGATTACAATTATAATAGATATGAATACTGGCAATTTATGAGCTGAATGTCATTTATATCATATGTCAGGAGAAAAATTCTGTAGAAGATATTGTCTAGTTTGGTTATAAGTAAAAAAAATGGTTAAATTATTAGGTGAGTTTATGTACAGATATATACTCAGTCTAACAATAACAGCAAAACTTAGTATGTGCATTTTAATAAACTATTTTTCTTTTGAGTAAGAAATTGTTTTCTTGATTAGTATTCTCCTGTAAGACTGCTTTAATTCTGTATTCTCTAGATATAAATGAGAATTGGGAAACAGAACTAAAAAGTAGCAAGTATCGTATAACTTAATTAATTCACCAAGATTGCTTTGTGAGTTTGCAAATGCAACTGCAAGTGGGAAGTAAAGTATTTCTAGTTTATTCATAAGTGTCCTAGTTGAAGTCTTTTTGTAAATAGGCTGGAGCCTAAATTTAATAACCTAATTTAATAACAATTTTGTCTTTATTGTTACTAGGTCAGCAGTTAGCATTTAAGATGAAAAATTGATGGGAATGATAACTTACATTATCCAACTTTATGTGGTTATTTGTTATTGCCTAAACTCCATTGCTAATACTTATACTGGCTAATATTTCTTCTGATTTTTATTATGGGCCAAAGCTATCCTAAGCTTTGCAAGTATTAACTAATTTATGCTCAAAACAAGTCTAGCAGATAGGTAACTATTATTATCTCATTTTCTACATGATGAAACTAAGAAACAGATTAAATTTGCTTATGTTTATCCTTCTAATAACTACTGCAGTGCAGCTTTTTACAACGATATCGTTATTTCTCTTTTACCAAATTTCTGTGTGATTTTTTTGATACTTTTCTCTCTCTCTCTCTGTGCTTCAACTACCTCATTTATACAGTTATTTTAATAACATAAATAAAATAAATGGATTAAATTGGGATTTCTTATTGTTCCCAACACCAAAATTCTCTTTTTGGTGTTAATAGAAATTACTATAAAAAGAGAATTGTGGTCAAATACATTTGGGAAATACAACATCCTTCTTTTGAGGACACATCAGCATTGGGTCTGAGAATTTATGTAGCAAAAGCATTTCTTTCATTTGAGGTACTTTTTACAAATGTATATGATCAGCGATTTTTATGAAAGAAATGCCAACTAATAAAATGTATTTTGGAGACATCGTTTGGGAAATTCTGAATTTAGATCCTCTAAAGTTCTCTTGATCTCTAAAAATCCTATTATACGGTGTTTAAAGGAAGATGATTTGCTTGGTGCAGTGGCTCACGCTTGTAATCCCAGCACTTTGGGAGGCCCAGGCAGCAGAATCACTTTAGCCAAGAAGTTGAAGGCAGTGAGCTATGACATTGACATTGCACTCTCCAGCCTGAGTGATAAAGTGAAACTCTCTCTTAAAAGAAAGAAAAAAAAGTAATTTCCTCTTTTTGACACTTCTCATAGTTTCTCTATATGTTATTTTTTTTGAGCTCTTTTTCCAAGAGTTCAGATTATCTCTTTGATTTCCCTTTCAACTCTGCAAATCGTATTTACTGTTTTTTCTCCCTACTATCACCTTCCTGGCACTACACAATCATATTTTGTATTGATCTTTTCTCTCATCATTATGTTCAAATATATACAAATTCCCAAAATTCTAAATTATCTGAAACAATATTTCTCTCAAACATCATTTATTCTTGGCCCTTTTATATGTACTGTGATTTAAGGGTTATATTGCATCTTTGCTATAAACTATGTCAAATCTATTAGAAAATAGGCTATCGACACACACACACACACACACACACACACACACACACACACACACACGGATATCTAAATAAATCACATTTTCGTTACCTTAAGAGATTCCATTCACTCCTTAGGATACCGAAAGAAGGACTTAGAAAACTATCTCTTACACAAAGAATTTTTAAAAATACACTGGAGACTTGTGGTTATATTGTTCTTGTTATCTATATTAAAAGATTGTATAAATGCAATAGGCTTATTTTCATCTGTTGTTCCAAAACTGACATAGGTGTTCTTCCTCCATTATACCTTCTGCTGACCCCTTTCCTAGTATGTATTTTTTTAAGAAAATAAGCCTTCTTTTTATATTTCTGTCTCCACTATTACAATATATATTTTCTTTTATACCAAGTAATGTATCTTATTTGAAATTTATGTTCTGTGCTAAGTATGATAATTAGGACCTAAGATATATAAGAGCCTGACATATATTGTACATACCAAATATAATCTAAGATATTAATAATTATTATTTGGACAACATTTCATAGTTTGAAAAAATAATTTTACTTCAGTAGTATTTCTAATAGTATTTTGATGGAACTTTCAAAACTTCTGCAAATAAGTTTTAGTATTATTTGTAATTTGCAGATAAGAAAACAAAAGCTTTAAATGATTAACTCAAAGAAAGTTATCATTACAATTGAAATTGAAGGTTATATAATATTTAGATAGGCAGAGGGCAGAGGTGAAGTCATTTCAGAGACCAAAAAAAAGCAAAAGTCCGGGGATGAAAGCAGCTATGACATATGTTGTGGGACATAAAAACATGCATTTTGGATAGAATAGGGAATTTAAAAGAAATATGTCAATTGTTCACCTATTATCTGGAAAATCAATCATCTTTTATTCTCTTGCAATTGTAAAGGCTCAGTTTTCTACATATTCATCCAATATTGTTCCAAATTTCAGGTTATATGATCATGCCTCAATATATGTATTTGCCTTAAATGTTTAAGAACAGATTGCTTTCTTGTCATTTGATCATTTCAACAATGTGAGTTCGACTTAAATTGAGTATTTAAATTTTGGCCTACTGCACCATTTTTTAAATATAACCTTTTTCTGGAATATCTATATATTGTGCATACAGATAAAGTGTACCCTTTGCTTATTTTCAGAGGACTCATAAAAAATAAAACTACCTAGGCAACATATATGTTGATTAAAGTTTGTACCTTTTTTATATTTTTAATATATTTTCTTTCTGTGTGCATATTTTAAATGTGATGTGCAAAAAAAATGTCAAAGTAAGTATCAGTGACTCAGCAAGAAAAGGCAAAAAATAAGCAGTGAATACAAGGAGTTGTAATTGGAATATTTCTCAAATGAAGAATATGTGAATATTTTATACACATAATAAAATCTATAATATTAAAAAATACAAAAGCACTACCAAAAGAGATGACCATGACATGAGACATTGGCCAATTAATTTACCATATATGCAGAAAAGTCCCCTCAAATTGTAAGTGAAAGGAGACGTTGATAAGATATGCTGAAGAAATAATAAGACGGAAGAGAATCAGCAGGGGTAGGATATCATTATAACAACTTCACGTTCTCTTTTAGACATAGTTTTTCTAACTTCTACATTTACCCACATGTTTATGTGTGTGTGCATGTGTGCGTATGTGTCTGTCTATGTATTATTTTGTGGAAATCAGCTTAAATGAACATTATTAAGTATTGTGGTAGGCAGAATAATGTCTCCCCAATATGCCCATGTTCTAATCCCCAAAACCTGTGAACATATTACCTACTTGCAAAAAGGACTTTACGGATATAATTAAATTGAGGATTTTGAAATGGGGAGATTTTCCCAGATTATCTGGGTGATTATATTGTAATCATAAGGGTTCTTGTAAGAGGGAGATAAAAGTGTCAGAGCAGGAGAGAGATTTTTTGGTGCTGCAACTGCTGGCTTTGAAGATGGAAGAAAAGGGTGTAAGCTGAGGTATGCGGGTATCACTAGAGACTGGAAGAAACCCTCCTTGAAGCCTCCAGAAGGAACACACAGCAGAGTTGAAACATTTATTTAACTCCATAAGATCCATTTTGGTTTTCTGGCCTCTATAATTATAAGATAATGTATTCGTGTTGAGGTAAGCCACTAAGCTTCTGGTAATTTGTTACAGAATCAATAGGAAAGTAGTAAAAAAGTCAAACATTTTATGGTACCAATAAGGTGTAAATTTAAATCAGAATTTGTTACTCAGTCATAAGATCAGCATATATGATTAACACTGCTTACAAATATTTCACCAGAATTATTTTAGATTAGAAATAAACATGTTTAGGGGATGTAAAATTTAAGCAAAGGAAGTGATTTAATTAGAAAAGGTAACTTCCATTTCGGAAGAAACTTTCAAGTCAAAGTGAACTCATTGTTTCTGCTTTATTTTTGTAGAGCTTAAGTTTATAAACAGGACCAGAGAACTGAACAACTGAATAAACATCAGTGTACTGGAAATAACTGAAGTATTGGGTTCAATATCATTATACACACTATTGTTTTGAGGTCACAGAACATGAAATCTCTGGGTACTTTCACCCAGCAAAATGCACACGTTAATAAGGCAAAAGATCGTGAATTTTTTTTTTTTTTACTATTTTATTCCCATGTTGGCTAACACTGAGAAACTTATATTCTCAGTTGGATAAAACAAAATATTTTGGGCCAATATTTATGCTAGGATAAGTGAAGAAATAAGACAGTCACTCAAAGGATATCCTAGATGAGAGCATTTTGGTCAAACAAATTTACAAATCAAATAGGGTATAAAAATGAATTTCCTTAATTTTAGCCATATTTTACAAATATTTTCACATAGTATAATTGCGGAAATAGGTCCATGATTTGAGCAAGAAAAGATACTCTGCCAAAATATTAATATAATATCTTGCTAAATTGTCTCTTCAAAAGCATCACATTTTATTAATATTTTCTTATCCATGCCCTTTAGAACAAACATTTTAAGAGATAGCATGTAGTAGTATTTAAAACTAAAAAATCTTAGTTTTCATGGCTAAAACTTTGAGCCACTTTGCAAATAAAAATAAATTTTAATTGAGCCTTAGGAGTATGAAAATAATCAGCAGTAAATTGAACCTGCATAAAAAATTCTGAGGGAACTATTGTCAAGGAACTATACTAAAAATTTACTATCATGGAATGTGGAATAAATATTTATTAGAATCTTCTTTGACCCAAATGTCATTTTAGTGCCTACTCATACAGTTAGTGATTGCAGTTATTTGTGAGATACAGTAGTGAATATACGTTTAATATTTTGGGGAAGTTGATTAGCTTTCCTGAATATTTCAAATCCTAGATTCTTAGATTTGAAGGAGACCTCCAAAATGGTCTTCTGTTCTAAATTGCAACATTCCATTTCGCAATACTCCTGATAGGTGACCATCCAGCCCCAGTTTGAAAAATAGCATGAATAATCTCCTTCTTGATCTGACATTGGCAAACCAAACAGAAATAGGATAAAACAAGATATTATTTTAAAATTACATTATGCTGTTATTTGTCCACTGTATCACTATAGTTGCATTAGTCTGCAGTTGAAGGTATTACCTACCAAACTCATGCATTTTTCCACTATTTTATTCTTTATTGCATCTAAAAATGTATAGTTTATGTTGTAAATATATCATAATATTTATATCACCAGGTGTAGTGAAGTATAAACTTAATAATTCCTGTTAATGTCTGACCTGACACCTTGTAGATGTTCAACAAACGTTGGTCCTGTTCACTTTTCATTTTTGAAAATATAGTATTTCATCTGATAGATACTGAGGGTTCTATTGATAATTCTTCAACTTTAAACATAATTTCAATTAGATATAAGCATAATTTTCATCAGATTTAATATGACTTCAATGTTGTGACTACTTAGTATAATTTATATCATCTAATATTTGATTGAACAATATAAATTTGAATGTCACTTATGTCTCTGAAAGAACTTAAAATTTTTTGAAAATTCATTCAGTTACAGTTTCTAATTTGATGAAATTAGAGATTTTTAGGATGCACTTTTTTTTTTTGCAAATTTCACGGAACCTATCCTTAATTTATGAGTTATTTTAAATTTTTTTAACCACAGTTAGATATTTTCATTTTTGGGAATTATAGCACACTTTAAGAATTTTTAAAAATTGGCATAGTGTGTGCTACTCATGTGACAGTTGCACTAAAATCCTAGACTCCACCATTACACAGTTCGTCTATTTAACTAAAAACTACTTGTACCCCTGAAGCTACTGAAATAATACAATTTTTAAAAAAGAATAAAAAGAAGTGTCAATGACTTTTTATCATTTTTCACATTGGCACTGTTACTGGTAGCCCATAAATTATAAAATTTGTGAGGCATTTGTAGATATACAAGGTTGTGTGTAAATCTGATTCATAGACAATCTTATGAATTCTTACCACAGTAAGAAAAATGAATGGAAGTGTAATAGTAACTTTGAGGATGAAAGCTTATATAACTACTTTTGTAAAATACATTTCTCTTTAGCAGGAATCAAGGTTTTAATTTTTTGCTTGCTGTTTTCTTAAATTTTTATTTCGTACTTATTTATTTATTTTGTTTTTGAGACAGAGTCTCACTCTATTGCCCAGACTGGAGTGTGGTGGCACAATCTTGGCTCACTGCAACCTCCGCCTCCCGGGTTCAAGTGATTCTCATGCCTCAGCCTCCAGATTATCTGGGACTACAGGTGCACACCACGCAATTTTTGTACTTTTAGTAGAGATGAAGTTTCACCATGTTGGCCAGGTTGGTCTCAAACTCCTGGCCTCAAGCAGTCCACCTGCCTCGGCCTTCCAAAGTGCTGGAACTACAGGCATGAACTGCTGTGCCTGGCCTAGAATCAAGATTTTTAGTTCACCTGGTACCATATCTAAGATAAATCTTAGAGCATTTAGGTACTTAATCCAAAAATATCTTTTTGCAGTATGCAACTGTCCCTGAAATCCTTGAAATAAAAAGTATAATTTTCTAACTAAAAATGTAGTTTTATACTATAATTTTTCTTTTAAATAATAGTAAAACATATCCATACCTTTTTTACTCTGACTCCAGTGTATATGCATTGGAAAAGGAAAATTCCGTGTTTTAGTATATTTCATACCCAAATTTTCTTTTACTTAATATTTTCAGTATTATCTGTAAAATTGCTTTCTTTACTGTTTCTTTTGTATTTTGTCTGTTTTGCATGCATTAAAACAAAATGTGAGGGAGGACATTATTTTTGTAATTGTCTATTCACTGAGATAAACTGAAATGTATATCAAATCAGTCATTAACCCCCAAATTTACCTAAATGATTCCAAATATCCTAGTATTTCTCAAAAACAAATTGACTCAGTTTTGTGTTTTTCACTAGAGGTCCAGGATTGTATTGATGGCTGAATAATGAGTCAGGAAAATTGACCTATATGATTTTTTTCTTCAGGAACTTATGCCAGTTAAAGTAATTGCATTTTATAATATAATTTTATTGTGAGTAAAATATAAACAGTCGACAATTAAAGTAAAATCATATGAAAATGGGAGACATATTTAACAATGTGAATATCATTGAACAAATGTCTGTTAACAATTTAAAAGTAGCAAAGAGGTAATCAAATAATTCA
The DNA here is from genome assembly GCF_000001405.40 of Homo sapiens. Classification (NCBI taxonomy): domain Eukaryota; kingdom Metazoa; phylum Chordata; class Mammalia; order Primates; family Hominidae; genus Homo; species Homo sapiens. Next base: position 92,811,854 of record NC_000004.12, read on the forward strand.
AAATCGTGACGTACTTCTTTATGCTTAGATTCAATTTTAAAGATGTACTTATCTGTAATTAGAGACTGTCACATTCAGTCATCTGAAAGGCAGTACCAGTAAGGATCATCTACCAAATTTTTAAATCTTGAGAATAGGCATTTTGCATAAGTAAACTCCATTTGTTTGCTCCCTACAATATTCTATATATTAAAAATAACATGTGCCAAAAAGGCTTCGCCTTAGAAAATCTGTACAACCTTTATGTGAACGTGAATGAACATTGTTTTTAGCAATAGCTTATTAGGAACTCTGATTTTCAAATAAATATGTGAAGATCTTTAATATATGAATATCAGCATTTTCCCAAGAAAGGTAAGTGGATGTTTATTATCTGTGAGTGAGATATATGTCAGTTTAGACATTTAAAAATAAATCACTCTGATTTAATATTGTAATATAGATTATAAAAACATTCTTAAGTGGTGAAAATGATCTGCCAAATCGGATAAATAAAAAAGAGTGAAACAGATTTAATCAAAACATTCTTTCCATGGGAGGAGGGTGTTTTTGGTGATAGGAACTCTCTTCCCTGAGAAAATGGAAATGTATTTGGATTTAAAAATTACAATCAACACATGGATGAAACCATACATCATATAAATGCAAATTTTACATGTATATTTTCATTACACTATTACCACTGTGATTTTAAATGTAGTATTTAAATACCAATAATTAATTTAGCATAATACCCCTGTTTTAATAAAGCAACTTTATATGGTGATTTTTGTTTTCTTATCCAAGCTGAATTATATATAGTGATGATAAGATCACTAGCATCAGATGAATGAAAAACTGATTTATGCTGTACAGGTATACAACTCTTTATAAATAATCTTGCAACTTGATACAGAAAGTGTCTATAATTCTGGCATGTTTGACATTCCCATTCAGTCCAATAACTCGTTGACAGATACTTAATTTGCTACTTCTTGAAGGTGTTGCTTGAAGTTTCCTTCTACTTGACAGGTGTCTGACAGTTCAGTCTCACTCAGAGCTTAACAAAATGGGAAAAGAATGCATTATCTAAACCCCTAGGTAATATCCATTTTATGTCATTTTATGACTTTGATAGTATCCAGGACTCAATTCTGTTCCTCTGGATAGTGAATAATGTGCACTTTTACTTGTGGCTTTTTAAGATATGTGTATATACCTTTAGATTTCCTTCAGACTCTATCTTGAAATGTCAAATCTTTATGCCCTGCAGTTCTTAAACTATAACTGATGTTTACAATATGGACTGTGAAGGAAATTATGATAAAAATATATTTCCTGGTCACCCACTGTTTTGGTCAATTTAGGCTGCTATAGCAAATTACCATAGACTGGGATGCTTAAACAACAGACATTTATGTCTAACAATTCTGAAGGCTAGACATCTGAGATCAGAACGTCAGCATGGCCAGGTTCTGGTTCAAGCCCTCTTCCTTGTTGCAAACAACCAACTTATATCCTCACACAGCAGAAAGAGAGCAAGCTATACAGGCGCTTAATTTCATTAATAGGTTCTACTTAATTATCTCCCAAAGACCCTAACTCCGTATGCTGTGGGGATTTGATTTCACATATAAAATTTTTTGGATATACAAACATTCAATTCATAACACCTACCAAAATCAAAATATTCATAATACAAATAATGCTCTTAGTATCTGGCATCTCTGACAAATTATTTCAGCTGTTTTGCTTTTGAATACATATTTATATCCATTCAGATTTATCAGAATTCTTCATTTAACTTCAGTACAGACACACGCACGCACACACACACACATATACTCACACACACTTTTTAAGATGTAAGCATATGATTTCATTTTAGAATCAGGCAGAACCATATTATAAGTCAGTGTCCACAGATAAAGTATCTAATATAAAACTGAGTTTCTAAAGGAAACGTATTTTGAGGTGAAAATCTGTTTAGCTTACCAGTGTCTATATAATATGTGCAAAATCCTTAACATCGCATTGAAAGATTCTTTGGATCTGATCTTACCATATATTTCTAGCCTAATTAATCTTCTACATTTACCCTGCCAGTTCTCTGTTCCTACTCATTGATTCCCTAACAATGTAAGCAGAGTTCCTTTGTTAAGTCATTCACAGAAAGTTTTCCCTATTCTTCTCTATCTGAAAAAAAATGTCCTCTATCCTTGGAGATCTAACCCAAAGTCCATGAAGCATTTTACTGATACTTTCATTTTCTGTTGCAGCACTTGCTATTTCTTTTATGCCATGGAGTGGGCACATTTTGTATTTGTGTCTTGTATTATTGTGACTTGATCCTTGGATTGGATCTTATTTTACTTTTGATGTATGTGGTAGTCAGAGGCCTACCAACAGATAGAACCCACACAGTAATTTGGAGAAAGTTTTACATAAAGAATAAGTAGATATAATACAGTATTTATGTAATGGAAGATTAGCTAGTAATAACTAAAGAGGAGTCTAAAGAATATAGTAATAATAATTATAAGGAGAAACCATTGCCTCTGAAGCTGAGAGGTACCCAAAAAGAACCTCTTCATCCCCTGCAAGGCTGATATCCAAACTTTATTTGTGAGGACATGCCCGTGGCTCACTGGCTGGTGGACAAATTGCTGAGGTGCTGGAACAGCAGGACTTGTTGGAAATGTTTTCCTCTGGGATTCCAAATAAGTCACCCATAGGGAGGATCCTAACCAGCAGCACTCCTCTTCAAAGCCATCTAAGGGGTGCCATCTTCGTAGAGGTGCCTCATTGGCAACACTTCACTGCTATGCTATCTGAGAGGGTAATGGAAAATGCTATCCACAAGGAGACTGCACATTGAAAGTTAATGCAAAGCAACTTAAGGGGGTGTGGAAGATGCCATCCACAGGAAGTGCTGGGCTTCGGAACTCACTGAAAAGCCATCAGACACAGTGTCTGGGTGCTTCTAGCCACCATGTTCTATAGGAGCCAGGTATTAAAGAAGCTGCATGCTGAGAGGAGCACACTAGGACCAGAAAGAGAAACCTTTCTCCCTCTAGTGTCCCCCCAATGTCATGTACTGACAGAGCTCAAAATGTGCAAGTTCACAAGGGAGAAATATTTATCAAACCCATCTCCATTATTGTAGAGCAGGCAGTGGGGGGTGGATTTGGATGTGATAATCAATGTATTCATAATTGGCACAATATACTTGTTTATTGACTCTTTGAACAAATCAGAATTTCTTACAAGATAGAAATACATTCTTAACTTTCCTTTTGTGCCCAGGATTTTTAAAAAATCTCAAATAAATATTACTATATTTCTCCATCATATTCTTATTAATATGATATAAACTTTGACATTTTATGTGCACAAGATATATCCTAAGCATTAAAGATAACTGTGTTACATAAGTGCACATTATTGTGCTTAGTAAGTGTATGAGCATGTGTGGGCATATATGGGTGTATATAAAGTCAATATTTGATTTATGATTGACCAATTTGAAAATTAATAAAATGGGCTTGCTGAAAGCTAGAAGGTAGCTACTTTAAACATCAGAAAGACAAATGACAAGTCTTGGTATCAGCTAGTTAAAAACATAAGTTTCTACCTTTGAAAGGATTATGCCACACATTGATTTTCCTATTAATTTAAATAAAGGTAGGTATAGGAAATTTACTTTAGTTTCCATCTTTGAATGTTATAAAATATTGTACTAACACATGTTGATTTCTGAAATGTTATAATCTTATTATACTTAAAGGATAACATTGGGGCTGGGTGTAGTGGCTCATACCTGTAATCTCAATACTTTGGGAGGCTGAGGCAGGGGGATTGCTTGAGCAAAGGAGTTCAATACCAGCCTGGGCAACATGATGATACTTCATCTCTACAAAATAAATAAATAAATAAAAACTAACTGGGCATTGTGGTGTGTACCTGTAGTCCCAGCTACTTGGGAGGCTGAGGTGGAAAGATCACCTGAGTCCAGGAGGCTGCAGTGAGCCGTGACCGTATCACTGTACTCCAGCCAAGGTGACAGTGCATGACCCTGTCTCAAAAAAAAAAAAAAAAAAAAAAAAGGAAAGAAAAAAACAAAAAGCCAAAAAAAAACCAACCAAAAAAAAAACCCCTCACAAACAAAAGAGCAATATTGTTTTTAAAAGTACATTTTACTGGCCAAGCATGGTGGCTCATGCCTGTAATCCCAGCACTTTGGGAGGCCAAGGCAGGTGGATCACCTGAGGTCCGGAGTTCGAGATCAGCCTAGGCAACATGGTGAAACCCCATCTCTACCAAAAATACAAAATTAGCCGGGTGTGGTGGCACATGCGTGCAATCCCAGCTACTCGGGAGGCTGAGGCAGGAGAATCACTTGAACCTGGGAGGCGGAGTATGTGGTGAGCTGAAATCGCACCATTGCACTCCAGTCTGGGCAACAAGAGTAAATCTCTGTCTCACCAAAAAAAAAAAAAAAAAAAAAAAGTACATTTTACTAAAGATGTACCTTAACCCATTTATGCCGAATGTACTTTAACCCATTTGTCTTCAAATTTATTCACATTAAAACCTTATTATTGCTCATACATTAATGCATGTTTCCTTGTTTTCAGGTTTATGTATACTGATTGTCTGTTATATAGCCAGGCAAAATAAATGTCAGAGTTTGGTAAAGGTTTCCACAAGGAGAAGGGAGGAGTGTTTGCAAATGAAGGTTAAATATGCTAAAATTACAAAAATTACAAATATCTTAAGTATTTTCTAAGAAATGATGCGTAAATATTTGCTACTAAAAGAGTTCTGGCATTTGATTCATGTGGTCTAGATTCAAATTCTACCTTTTCATTCACTGTTTAAAGTTTACATAACTCTTCTGGAAAATGGGGATTCTAATAGTACTAGTTTATGAAAGAGTTTTTGTGGATTTAGTAAAAGATTAAACTCATTAACAACTTACAAAGCTCTGCTGTATTGAAAATTGAGGAGAAATAACTTTACAATAAATAAAAACTGTTAAATTTAAAAACAGGGATATAGTGTGCATGTATCTGCAATTCTTCTCTCTCTTCTAAGGTTTACTTTGTACATAACTACCTAGCTGCCCTTCATGTAACTTAGAACTTCATCTACTATCTTTAAAATCTAGTCCCATGTTTTAACCATCTTGGATGGTTAAAACCTTCAATGACCTTCACCTAGTTACACAATTCAGGGACCCAGGAGTCACCATTAACCCTACACTACTCACATTCACATCCAGCTGGCCACTAAGTCATGTTCAATCTGTCTTTTAAAATTCAATTTAGTATGTTTCCTTCCTCATATTCACCCTTAAAATTTTCTTTAACTGTAAATACCAGCAATTCTATATATTTTTTTCTTATTTGGCTTAATTCATTTAGTTTTTCACTGCATTTTATCCCCGCTTTTATCAGCTACATTGCTGTGGGTTTAAAAAATTATAATTGGATCATATTATTCCTCTCTACAAAACTTTTAATACCATTCTCTCCATACACCTTACTCCTATTTTCTTCAGGATAAAGTTTGTACTTATCCTAGATGACATTACTTTATCCATAGGATGACCTTACCAAAACCTTTAAGTTCTAGTCTTAACCTACCTGTCTAGCCATATCTCTCATAAGGCCATATCTCCTCATAAATATCTAATGCTTAATTTTATGAGAATTGCTGACAATTCCTTGAGATTGTTTTTATGCTTCCTTATTTTTTCAAATCTTATATTTTATCTGGAATGCCATTATAATAATGTTTAATTGATTTGTATCAAAACTACTGGGATTTGTTGATGGCTTCTTGCCTTATGTTGTTAGATATTTGGCTTTTTTTTTTTGGAGAGATGGTGTCTCACTATATTGCCCATGCTAGTCTCAAACTCCTTGGCCCAAGTGATCCTCTCCCTTGGCCTCTCAAAGTGTTGAGATTATAGGTGTGAGCCCTTGCGTCCAGCCTTGCCAATTTTTTTACACATATTATTTAATGTAAGTTCTATGGCAATTTAGTGAGGAAACAGATACAGAGGAGTTTTATTTCATGTCCAAGTTTACAGAATTATAAGTGGTAGAGTCAGGCCAATGCTATGTTTGCCGCTAAAAACTATGTTATCCAAAAGATGCTGCAAAACTGACCTCAATCATATTCATGTGTGTGAAACCTTTTGTGACACATCTACATATGAGATATTGATGATCATGTTGTCTTTTATGTTATCACTATATCCACAACTGTTTCTGTTATCTCAGGTGTCACATTATCTCAGGTGTCACACTAAACTTCAACTGTGAACTTTATGTCTGTTATTCCCACTTAATTATAAACTGATAAGCAGAATAACAGTATTTTAAAAATCATAACCTCTTGCCCAGTGTATATTTCTCAATAAATTACATTTGAATGAATGAATGAATAATACAGATTCCTTCTTTTTTTTGTATTCAACTTCACCCATACAAGAGAGACTAAAAGTGTCATTAGCTATTATCTTTGTATTCAGGAAACATTAAAAAAGAAAAATGGCATTTGAGATGGGTGTTGAAAGATAATGATGGAGAATTTTGACAGGTGGAGGTAGAATGAGAAAAGGCATTACCAACGAAGGCCCAACTTAATAAGAGCTATTTTGCCTATACTAATGGACAGTTAACAGTCTGATTTGGTGTATTGCTTGGAAATGATCTTGCTCGCAAACTTATTAGCTGTTCAATTTAGTTTTAAGTAAATGGGCAAGTGGCAAATATATGAGGAAGTCAGAAGAACCTTTCTTATATTAACTTGATGAGTCGCTATACCATTGAAATCTCTTACCTCACCCAGAGCAGCCCCTCTGGAAGTGCTCTTTCATACTTCATGTCTCTTCTGGGTGTGTGAGGCAAACATGAAGTTTATATCAGACACATATGAATATACTCAATGAATTTCTGCCTATGGACAACTACCCTTTTGCAATACTTACTTGAAGCATGTTTTCTACATGAATAATATCTTGAAGCCCAAATTATATAATTGTATCTGTAATTTATCTGCTTGATATACCCTTCACAATAATTCTATAGCATATAATTTTTCTCATTTTTAAATATTTATGAAGAAGCTTATGTTGCAAGAGCTTCATTCTCACTGTATATACCTGAATGCTGTGATAGGTTAGTAATGGGCACTGAATCAGAACTATTTATTTCTGTCCTACACCAAAGCCCTTGTTTTATAAACTAGGCAACTTTACTCCCAGCATGAGCATGAGCATGAGCAAATGTTACGGCAATAGGAAAGCATAGTATCATTCAAAGAATTATCTAGAAAGTGGATAATTTTGGCCAAATCTGAGATTCTCAGTGCTGTTTATACATCACAATCACCCATGGGAGGTTTTAAAACTTAGGCTCAGACATCATCACAAATCTCCACCACAGACAAATTCAACCCCAATTGCTGAGAGAGGGGTCCTGGCATCAGAAGTTTTTAAGCTCCTGAGTGATTCCAATGTGCAGCCAGTACTGAGAACCACTGGACTAAAATGAAGGGCACATGTATGGGGGCGGCATGAAGAGTGAATAGGGTTTAAAAAGGAATATTAGAATCACATGGGCAGGATAAAACCCAAACAGCCTCACTCAGTAACTATGTGATCTTGGGCTAGTTACTAAACTTCTTGAAATCTCTATTTTCCTGTAAGATGGGGATAAACTAAAGCATGTAAAATACTTAGTATTTGGAGTCAGTTTAATTAATGGTCATTCTTACTATTTAAAAAAAATAAATTTGAAAAATGATAATAGGACTATGTTGTGGAAATATTTGACTACCAACTGCAGGAAAGGATATTACTACGACAGCATAGGTGACAAAAACAAATTAGAGATATATTTTTTGCTCAGATGCTTAAAATATTTTTTTTCTTTTCATATCTTGTTTGCAGTTAAGTAATCTTTGGTATTAAGCAGTTTTAATTGCAATAAGCTTATAAATTATTAGTACTCCATAATGAAGAGAAATGATAAAAGTCTGTCTTGTTTTGATAATATATGAATAATAGTGAGAATTATAATGTGCTTTCTTTTACTAAGCATCAGATATTTTTCAGATGAATAGAATTTCGATGAGTTAACTACCAATTGCGTAGTACCATTTACAATCTCATTTTTGAAAGACACTGTCTTGAAACAATCTAGAACTGACAAATGACAACATAAGATACTCTGCTTTGCATATTAAAGACTTTCACATTCACTTCTCATTTGGTTCTGCCCACAGCCCTGAGACATGGGAATTAATGAGTTTTATAAAGTTTATTGGTTTTTAGGGGAGAGGGCTATGACAAGAATCCTTCCCTTCTAACTTTGAATGTAATGCTTCTTTTATGACACACATACTTATTTGGAATATGTTGAAAGTCTAGAAACTAAGAATTAATATGTAGGCAAAAGGACCAGTGCAATGCTGTGAACTCGATGTGAGTAGATCTTAGGGATTCTAAAGGGCACTCTAATGCCTTTAGATTTAAGCTGAAAGTCAGAGAAACAGTTAAGATAGCAGAAACCTAAAAATTCTCAAAATATCAAACAGGCAGAGTTAACTCTACCAAAGTCAGAATGACTCAAAACACTGTTAGCAGCAAATGAAAACAAAGAAAGAAAACAGCACTATGCAACCTCTGGTTTGCTTATGGTACTTACTAGAAGTGAGTAGTCTTGGCTGCAATGAACTTTATAGAAAGTGTTTAGCTTAGAGAATGTCAGAATCCTATAAATACCCTGGAAATAGCGGGTGGCATAATGTCTTCTGCAGTCTCGTTTCAGCAGATAAACTTCTTCAGTTCTATTTAGAATGCATTTTTTGTACTACGGTTGATATTTCAGGCAACAGTGATGTATATACAAGTATCTTCAACATTCTATTAATTTCAGGTTCAATTTTTACTGAAATCAATATCTATTAAAATTATCATGTTATAATTAATAATCTTAAATTGTACAAAATTCCTATTCTCTTGTATCTGTATAATATCAAATTAGATGTCTAAAAATCTAATCTGATTTTCAAATTAACAAAATAACCTAGAAGCAATACTATAATCATCTTCTCTAATATATATACTTAAGATAAAACAGCTAATTATAAACAACTTATACATGGAAGTATGCATAAATATTGTGATTTTTACTTAACACAGTGATAAAGAAATTGATACATTTAAATAACCATATATATAGCCAATTTGAAATTTAGGTATACTCCAAAAGTAGATATTTTGAATTGATATGTTTAACTGGCTTAATTCAACATAATTTAGGCCAGATATTTCATAAAATTGTGTTTATTTCTAAAGTAATGAGTGCTTCTTGTAAATAATTCCAATACAAAAATATGTGGAGCAAAATGCGACATTAAGAAGCACACCAAAATTAGGATGGTCAGCGCCTCTGGCAATGAGGGAATGGGATTAGAAGAGAGAACAAAATGGTTGACAACCTTATCTGTCATGCTTAATTTATTTCATAGATAAAGTTAAAATGATGAAATGTTTCTATTGATAATCATGGATTCTATGTAAGAATTTGTTACAGTATTTTTGTAGCTGTTTGTTTTTTTTAAGTTTCTCAAAAGTGTTTAAGATTTAAATTTGACCATATTACTAGGTAATTGATCTTGATTTCAGTTAATACCCTGGAGTTACATAAACAGAAATTTAAAATAATATTTTTGATTCTACAAGCATTCCACATTCATTAATGTAATACAAGAAAACCAGATCATTCTACTGTGATCAACTTACAAATTGTGTTGGAATCTGCCTGCATATAGCCCACCCCCTCAATAAGGCACCATAAAAGCTATTTTAAGTAATATTCTCTCAATCATAATAAAACACACATAGCAAGACCAAAAGGCAGTGATTCCTTTTTCCATTTCCAACTTGTCCTCAAGCTAAGCAGTCCGGCAACTCAAGCAAAAACTGTGTTTCATAATATGAACAGCCACTTAAATACTTTCTCCCCATCTCTTTATGTTTCACTGCTGGGGAAGTTAATAATGATTAAAGTAGGAAGATTTTTTGTTTTAAATCAGAAAGTCAGTTGAAAGAAACCTAAAGTTCTGCCATAAATATCTAGCAGGTGCTGATGGCCACCTGCCACACTTGCACCAGATTGTCTATGTAGCCAGCAGTCTGGCCATCAGCAGACCAGAGAGGTGCAATGGGGAGTCTCTGCCTTGCTGCAGATTCCGATAACTTCTTGCTTAATTTCTATGGTGGTCTTGCCTTCTAAGTCCCAGATCTTGATGCTGAGGCCTGTGGTAGCGCAGAACCAGTAGCAGTTGAGGCTAAAGCACAGGGCATTGATGATATTCCCACCACATAGCATATCAAGGTGCTTGCCTTTGTTGAGATCGCATGGCATGGCATGGCATGGCCAGCATTGCCTCCAGAAGCACAGAGGGATCCATCTGGAGAGACAGTCACAGTGTTCAGATGGACTGTGTGGCCAAAGTGGTTCATCTTCAGCTTGCAGTTAGCCAGATTCCGTACCTTGACCAGCTTGTCCCAGCTACAGAGGTGATAGTGTTGCTGCCGTTAGGTGAGAAGTGGACATAAGACACCTACTCTGAGTGGCTCTCCACCTGGACAGTGTATTTGTATATACTCAGGGTTATAACCATAACTAGACGGTTTTATCTCAGGATCTAGAGACAATCTACAGGTTGTCAATGGAGAAGGCCACACTCAACACGTCCTTGGTATGGCCTACAGATCATCTCATAGTGGTGCCCTTTGTCAGATCCCAGAAGCACAGGTTTCCATCTCAGGAGGCTGAGAGGAAAAAGTGGCCACCTGAAGAGATGATTTTGTCATAGACAAAGTGGAAATGACCCTCCAGGGCATGCTGTGGGATGCCATAGTTGGTTTCGTCCCTGTTCAATGTCCACATGATGATGATTTTGTCTCAAGAGGTGGACTGTATCATGTCCAGGGCAGTAGCGATCTGGTTACTCAGGTATTGTGGCCTTCAAGAGTGTCACAAAGGGTCTTCTGCTCTGTCATGGTGGTGGTGAGGTCAGGTGTCACTGCAGCAACGAGGATGCCACTCAGAGAGACCAGAGGGACAAACACCACAGCCAGTCCTGCCACAGCCCTGCCACAAAAAAGTAAGCCAAGCAGGGAAATTTTAATACATGAAAAATACAAAATATAGGCATAGGATGGAATAGTTTCACTAATTTAGAGTCTATGTGAAGGGCAATATTGGAGAAGGTAATTATGTACAAAAGTATCTTGGAGCTGGTTGAATTGTTTGCCCTTTGCCCTTTATGAGTCACATATATATGGAGAAAAGAAGTTGTCTATTGCCAATTGGTACAAGGATTAAAATTAGGAACTATGAACATTTCATGGCAGAATTTTTGACAATATATAAGTAATGAAAAAAGCAGCCTTTTATATTTAAAATATACAGAGCTTATCTCTTATTTGCTGCCAATCCCTAGCACCCTGTACAAGATTGATCTATTGATATTTGCTAAATTTGTTAAAGGACATTAATAACTTATTGAATCCGTAATAGGTGACATGAGAGAAATCAGCTCAGGGAAGCAAATTATGCTGTCTATAGTCACACAGATAGAAAGGTTGGAACCTGGATGGCAACACGGGTCTGTTTGACTAGAAAACTCCAATCCATCTTCTTGTCAACTGAATAGTATTTATATTTATTAGAAACAATCACTGAAAAGTTCTAGATTAAAAATGTATCTAGATCATTGCACAATAAAAAAAATCTTACATCTTCCTTAAGTTATGATTAATTTTAGTGTGTCAGTAATAAGATAAATTAGTTGTTTGGTAAAGAGGTGCTAATCTGATAAACTCTGAAATTCCTTCTAAGCCCTTTTGTTTATTTATCTTACCATGGATACAAAAATGGCCACAAAATAAAAGAAGGATGTGACTATTTTCCTAGGAGTGTGCATTGTCCACCCCAGTGCCTGACAGGTCGAACTGTTTGTGATGACTCCAGAATACTCTGAATCCCATCAGTAATTCCTTCCAGTGTTGACAATGAAATTTAGAATAGGGACTGGTGGTAGTAGGAACAGGGATGGTGTCTATGGGGTTGCCTAATAACTAATATTATGGATAATATCTAATACAAAGGGACCTTCAATCTGGCTGGTAGTTCAGGGGAGATAGGATGAAGTGAAACATCTCTGAAATGTCTGAGCTAGATAATGAAGGTTAGGCCAGGTGAACAGGAATGTTAGGAGTTTGACCTGTAGGCTAAGAAAGACGTAGATAAAGGCATTTTTGCCTGCTTAGGCTGAGGTTCTCTTCCTTTATAAATAGAATCCATAAAATATCATTAGGTTCTTATATTTGTTGGAGGTTATTAAAATTTATCATTACTTGTGTATTTGAAAAATATATGATCTTTTTATTATCTCCAAATGTTTAAGTCTCTGCTGTGTAGTAGCTATGATTTTTTTCCCCATTTCTTTTGTTTGTTTGTTTCTAGCAGTTTTTGCCAGCTATTCCCTGCTACCTGTGACACCCTTTTTTGCTAAGAAAATACTTCTGTCTTGGGTGCTAGTTTCATGGCTAGGGTTTTATATTCTCAAAAGAATAAATTAATTATTAACATATGTTTCTGAAAATAAACTTTTATTATTTATTTCAAAATTTAATAACAGTTGAAAGCCATTAATTGCTCTTTTAAAAAACTAAAGAAAATTATAATTATCAGACCCACCTCAAAGCTCTGCCTTTGTCTCTTATCAGTCCATTCCCCTTGCATTTATGTGTAACAAGTTTACTCTTTTAGTTTATGTTAATTGCTGATATGTCTACTCATAAACTACTGTATAAATAATATTAAGAATTTGGATTGACTAAGAAATTAACTTTAAATTGCCTCTATAAACATTAAACTTTACCTTTAGATATTGTTTTTTAGGAAAACCCATGAAGTGCTCCTTTGTAATTAATAAAATAATCAAAATAGGTTGTTAGAAAAACTATTAAACACATTGATGCTATAGCAATAATGACATGATAACCAGATAAATATATGAAAGTTTATAATCCACAATTTATTTTTCATATCCACAAATTTCTTAAAAAAAAGGTATTAACATGTATCCCAGAACTTAAAGTATAATTAAAAATACATAAAATTTTTTTTAAAAGTACTAACATATATCTGCCCATTTAAGAAATATTTCCATGACAGACACTTAGATACTTTGCAAACAATCGTCCACCTCTTCTTCTGATTTAGTTCATGTATTATGCCCAGGGATGAAAAACCAGTAGTAAACCAGGGTACAACTAGCCTAAAGAGAACCTTTGCGCAAATTACAATAAAAAATCATCCTATGAACTCAAGGATGATGAACAGAAAAAAATTCACCTTCCATTGGGGCTCGCAGTCTGTTGAGAAGAATCCAGACTGAACTTCAGCCCCTACTAAAACTCTTGGCCAGGTACCAAGTTACATGAACATAAGCAGCAGCTCTGCTTATCAGTTGTGCTATGGCACCGAGGAGGGTTACAAACATGCTGAGACATTGATTCTTCAGCTGTCATGACAGCGAAGTGAGTCTTAACATGGCCAAATGCCATAAACAGAACACCTCCAGGCTTCTGCAGTCTTGTCTGTTTGCTCTAACATCTCATACCTCTATCATTATTTGCTATGTGACATGACACATAGCAAGGCTAAAACCAGTCTTGGTCATACTGTTCCCATTCACATATGGGTATTTAAAGGTGGATATTTTAGTAAGCTAGGTTGCATATTATTCCCATATAAATGAGAGCCACCTCCGCCCCCAACAGAAACCATGTTGTCAAAATAGCATGTAATGCAAGGAGCCAAGGCAGCCCATATGCAGGCCTGAAGGAATGTTCAATAGACACCTGGACATTGTGCCATCAGCAAAAAAGGAAACAGCCTTCATGTTCTTAGCAACACTGGGGAACTACTTAATTCATTTTCTGGAGCCCATGTTAGGAGAAATATTAAATGTCCTAACTGCTTAAGCCACTTTTGGTTTGATATATTGCTACTTGTAGCTGAAAGTATCCTGAGTGTTCCAACTTGGCACTCCTTCAGTGAGTACTCAGTACAGCAGCCAGAGTGATCCTGTTAAAACACAAGTGGCATCTTGTCACCCTTCTGCTCAAAATTCTCAGTAGTTTTCTCTTTCATTCAGAGTAAATGCCAAAGTCCTTTTTCAGAGCTAGAAATCCTATGTAATCTGCCCTTGCTCTGTCTCCTCCTTTCCTCCTACCTTCTCTGAACTCATTCCTACTTATTTCTCTTTGTCCATTTTATTTAAACAGACAAGGTATGCATCCAACTTAGGGTCTTTGCACTTGCTATCCTCTGCCTTGAAAACTCTTCCCTGATAGCTTCATGGATTGATTCCTAAGACTCTTTTGCTCTTTACATTAATCTTCCTCTCTCATTGAGGCTTTTCCTGGATGCACCATCTAATGACGTTCCAACCAGCAATCCCTAACACACCATATTTTCTATCTTCCTTCCTGCTCTATATTTGTCCATAGTACTTCTGTATAACATGTTTCAGTTTTTAATTAATTATCTCATTTGTGGTCTGTTATTCCCACTGGAGTGTAAGTTCCAAAAAGAAGTGATTTTTGCCAGTTTTGTTCCATACTGCATGTCCAGTATCCATAATAGTACCTAGGACTCAGAAGGCTCTTGATAGATATTTGTCAAATGCATGAATCATAGCAGTTAAGCTTACTAGACTACTTGCATTACATTATTCTAGCTTTGAATGTGACAATTTATAATTATCTGTATAAGATAACCAACATATTTAAATTAATTTAGTACTTTTGTACAAAACCTTATATTGATTTGCAAATCAGCTGATTTAAAATGTCAAGTATTACAACATGAGTTTTTCATATAACAATTAGAAAGACTTAGGCAATCTGATTTTATAGACTGGTAATTGGTTTGATTGATCTAATGTTATTTCCTTTATATCCAAGTGTTCTCATGGTGTGGCCTTGGGATACTATCAGTTCATTGAGAAGAGTTCATTGATATGTTTCAGGTTCCATATTCTAACTGAGATAGGAGTTTTTATGTTTCATCAAAAATATCCAAAATTTTATGGGAAGGCTATTGAAATACACTTCTCCCCTCCAGTTACATTCCTGTATAAAGCTGGGCCTTCCTCATATTTCAATTCATGTTTCTTAACAAATTGAGTAGAAAATCAGATAAAAGAATCCACTTATCCTCTATTAAGTCAAATACCAAGGGATTTGCAAGTGTTAGGCAATTAAACTATTCTATTTTATTTAAAACCATTTATATTTATCCAAAAAATATTTGTTAGTTATATTAACGTTTAATGAATGAAAAAGCATATATATTGGAAATTATCAGGTTAATTTTGGGTGCAATAAACATCAACAGGTATAATCCACATAAACAAAAACTCTTTGGAAAACTCAATACTTTTTAGCAATGTAAAGGGATCCTGAGATTTAAAAAAAAAAAAAAAAAGGAGGGAGTCAATTTTTGTTACTATGTCCCTTCTGTCTTTATTTGTTAAAACATTTATGTGTTTAACACCTCCCAGCCCCGTCAAGACCCGATATTCTACCATCCTGGTAGTATCTTCACACTACTGGGTTTTGTTTAAATGCTAAGTAGCTTTTAATCATATTATCTTAAATATGATTTTTTTCTCCAGCCAAGACACCAATATTTCAGAGAAGCCATTTCATGGCAGTGACTCACACTTAATTGTTGCATCTGATGCCCTTAAGAGGGTACAAAGCAGTGTAAATGCTCAACGAATAAAAAAATGAATTAATGAATGAATGATATATGAAGAGATGGATATAAGCACTTTCCTTTTAGCTAAAATAAATCTAGTTTGCTATTTTATGTTTCAAATTATTTAACATAGAGCTTGTTATATTGCTGACAGTTTTCTTTCTTTTTTAAACTTGCAGGAATATGCTGTCAAGTCATTTGTTTGGTATGAATCTATAGCTAAGTAACCAATTTTGATAGTTAACTTGATAGTTAATGTTGAGAATGTCAAAATATATCTCCACAAATGATCAGATTAATAGATATGTAAGAATTCCTATTGCAGATTCAGTTTCAGGAACTTCCTGCTAGGCTTTCTTGACTTCAATCTCCAACTAAAAAGTCTGAGAAACTGTATTCCCCTACAACTCCTCAAGTAATTGGTAATATTGGTCAAGGATTGTTTCCTAAATAAAACCAAAGCCGATTACATTTGAGTTGCTAAAATCAAAATAGGACTATACTGATTTTAGTTCCCAGGTCCACTTTGACTCTTCTACCAGTCACTGGCAACCAAAGTTTATTAAGTTAAATTTATTCAGAATTCATAATGACTTTATTGTAGAAATCTGCGAATAGATTTGCACTTGATAGATAGACAAAAATTACCTTTGATAGAATTAGTAAATTAATAGTTTTAATTGGATTAGGTAGGGACTTAAGATGAAACTGCTTAACTTATTTAAGAAAACAACTTGGTCTAAGCAGTCTACTAGAGCACTTGTATAGAATAGTGTGCTAATTATGTGTTTCTTATCTCTTCATTAAGGTAGATTTGTCAGAATCATTCTTTGGCAACATTGTTTAATAATTGGTTTATATTGCTTTATAGCCCTGAAGAAAATAAATTCATATTTGGTTATAAATGCCCTACATTTCTGACTTTTAACTAATTACAGATGATAACTTCCTCACCCCAATTAACTCAATTAATGAAGTTTTACATTTTTTTCTTTTTCTCTTGTGTGATTTTGGTAATGTTAATCAACACTGAAAAACATTGTTTTTCAAAAATTTGCTAGCTTTTTTTATGCTCTGTTTTAGTACATGTTGAAACAGGTATAAGTAACTAAAAGAAGGCAAACAAGTGTCTGTACATATTCTTCACCCACTTTTTGATGGAGTTGTTTGTTTTTTTCTTGTAAATTTGTTTAAGTTCCTTGTAGCTTCTGGATATTAGACCTTTGTCAGATGGATAGATTGCAAAAATTTTCTCCCATCCTGTAGGTTGCCTGTTCACTCTGATGATAGTTTCTTTGGCTGTGCAGAAGCTCTTTAGTTTAATTAGATCCCATTTGTCAATTTTGGCTTTTGTTGCAATTGCTTTTGGTGTTTTAGTCATGAAGTCTTTGCCCATACCTATGTCCTGAATGGTGTTGTCTAGGTTTTCTTCTAGGGTTTTTATAGTTTTAGGTTTTACATTTAAGCCTTTAATCGATCTTGAGTTAATTTTTGTATAAGGTGTAAGGAAGGGATCCAGTTTTCTGTTTTCTGCATATGGCTAGCCAGTTTTCCCAGCACCATTTATTAAATAGGGAATCCTTTCGTCATTGCTTGTTTTTGTCAGAAGACATTTATTGGGCCAACACACATATGCAAAAAAGGTCATCATCACTGGTCATTGGAGAAATGCAAATCAAAACCACAACAGGATACCATCTCATGCCAGTTAGAATGGCAATCATTTAAAAGTCAGGAAACAACAGATGCTGGGGAGGTTATTGAGAAATAGGAACACCTTTACACTGTTGGTGGGAGTGTAAATTAGTTGAACCATTGTGGAAGGCAGTATGGCAATTTCTCAAGGATCTAGAACCAAATACCATTTGACCCAGCAATCCCATTATTGGGTATATACCCAAAGGATTATAAATCATTCTATAAAGACATATGCACACATATGTTTATTGCAGCACTATTTACAATTGCAAAGACTTGGAACCAACCCAAATGCCCATCAATGATAGACTGGACAAAGAAAATGTGGCACATATACACCATGGAATACTATGCAGGCATAAGAAAGAATGAGTTCATGTCCTTTGCAGGGACATGGATGAAGCTGGAAACCATCATTCTCAGCAAACTAACACAGCAATGGAAAACCAAACGCCACATGTTCTCACTGATAAGTTGGAGTTGAACAATAAGAACATATGGACACAAGGAGGGGAACATCACACACGAGGGCCTGTCAGGGGTGGGGACAAGGGGAGTGAGAGCATTAGTAGAGATACCTAATACATGTGGGGCTGAAAAGCTGGAAGATGGGTTAATAGGTACAGCAAACTACCGTGACACATATATACCTATGCAACAAATCTGAACATTCTACATATGTATTCCAGCGCTTAAAATAAAATTGAAAAAAAAAAAAGCAAAACTAGCACTGAGGAAACACCTAAAGCAATCCTGGGACTCATAAACACTCCCATATTTTCTAATATAATTCTCAAAACAGTGTCCAGTTATTTTAAGAACAGAAAATGAACTGAGGCTAAGAACAATAAATTATTTCTCCAAGATCATGCAGTAAGTAGGACAACTGGGATTTACATTGTTTTTTTTTTTTTTATTCTGAAAGACTCCTTATGTCTTACTTCAAAATATTTCTATGTTCTCTAAAAAGTGAACTGAGCTAAGCCTACGTTTTGTGGTGCATAAACCATACCAACATACCAACATCATTATGGCATTAATCATTCATTATGGTACCACTTTGCTTTATGTTCCAAGGCATTCACTGTCTTCTAGATATTTTTTATTTTATCATGAATAATTTTCCTTATTTAAGCATACTATTATTATTATTTTAGTACTAATAATTCAACTTTATCAAAACACATTTTTTATTTCTCATTTAAAAATATCTTTAAAGAGTCATAAGTTAAATAACTGTTCTCAGCACAGACTGCTATGGGCAGATGCCAAGAAATAAGTTCTGTTGAGTTTACTAAGAGATTCTTCATAGTTTTATTTTTTAAGTTGTTTTCTTTCTAATTTTATGGTTTTATTACACTCTTATTTAAACTAAAGCAAAAATACTTATTCTACCTAGGTCTACAGTCTTCATCACTTTAAGAGGAAAACAAAGCTATTCCATTTAAGTATCTGGGTATTGCAATAATTCATTGTGTAGTTACAGAACATATCATAGAGCAGTCATCTAACCCTTCTCTCAGACAGCCATTCAAGGCTGCCTATGTCTTTCTCAGGAGGAGATAGAATGGTTAAGCTGTCATTATCTTCTAGTGCCACTGAAAGGACAATAGTTTCAATGCCATATTGCCTGACATTTAAACTGATATACCTTGGGATATTGAGAAACAGAAGGGACTAGGGGAAGGAGAGAGCCAGTTTTTAAATTGTTACTATATAAGAAGATTCTAGGATTTTTTCCCACTCTGAATTTTAACTTGCATTCCATGTAACAAAAAATAGACCATGTAAAATGAATATCATCATTTTATGTCTATTCTTTTATATCACTGTGAAAGAAAGCAACAGAAATTTACCAAAGAACCAAAGGATTGTGAATGACTTTTCAGAATATGAGTGAGTATGCTTCACAGAAAACCAAAGAGCTGCTCCCCTAATTACAAATGGCTGGTCTGAGAGATGTCAAATGACAATGAGATTAAAAAGGTAATGTACAACTCAACAAAAACGTGAGCTAAATGATTGGAGATCCAGCTGTAGTATAAAGTTAAACACTTTTACTCTGTAGTCAGAGAAACCTGGATTCAAATGCCAATTTCGTTTTTTTTTTTTTTCAAACCTGCATGGCTTTGAGCAAGTTAACTGGCAGAAAGCTTATTTTCCTTATCTATAAAATGATTCCAGGCATGGTGGCTCATGCCTGTAATCCCAGTACTTTGGGAAGCTGGGGCAGGAGGATCATTTGAGCACTGGAATTTGTGAACAGCCTGGACAACGTAAGGAGATGCTGTCTCTACAAAAAATTAAAGTAAAGTTAGCTGGGGGTGGTGGTACATGCCTTAGTTAGTCCTAGCTACTTGAGAGGCTGAGAGAGGAGGATCACTTAAGCCATGGAGGTTGAGGCTGCAGTGAGCTGAGATCACGCCACTATACTCTAGACTGGGAGACAGAGCAAGACCCCATCTTGCTATATAAATAAATAAATTATACATCTATATAAATAAACCCCCCAAAATAAGAAAGTAAATAGAACATAACTGCTACCTACATCTTAACATGGCTCTGACGATTAATGATACAGTGCATAAAAGACTGTTTCAGCAATGATTAGTGTATAAAAAGGATGTAATAACTAGTAATATTGGCCACAAATTCTATTAATATGCTTTATATGTAAAGATATATAAAATAAGTAAGGTATTAAGAGAATACAAATATCAACTTATGAAAATAAAAAAAAGGAAAGATTAGTAAATAAAAATGAGACCGGGCATGGTGGCTCACTCCTGTAATCCCAGCACTTTATGAGGCCAAGGCGGGCTGATCACTTGAGGCCAGGAGTTGGAGACCAGCCTGGCCACCAAGATGAAACACGATCTTTACTAAAAATTAAAAAAATAAAAAATAAAATTAGCCAAATGTGGTGATACCTGCCTGTAATCCCAGCTACTTGGGAGGCTGAGGCAGGAGAATATCTTTTTTTGTTGTTTTTGTTTGTTTTGTTTTGTTTTGTTTTTTGAGACAGAGTTTCATTCTGTCACCCAGGCTGCAGTGCAGTGACGCAATCTTGGCTCACCGCAACCTCCGCCTCCCGGGTTCAAGCTATTCTTCTGCCTCAGCCTCCAGAGTACCTGGGATTACAGGCACCCGCCACCACGCCTGACTAATTTGTGTAATTTTAGTAGAGACGGGGTTTCACCATGTTGGCCAGGCTGGTCTCAAAATCCCGACCTCAGGTGATCCACCCACCTTGACCTCCCAAAGTGCTGGGATCACAAGGGTGAAGCACCACACCTGGCCAGAGAATCTCTTGAACCCAGGAGGTGGAGGTTGCAGTGAGCCGAGATCATGCCACTGCACTCCAGCCTGGACAACAGAGACTCTGTCACAATAATAATAATAATATAAAATAAAAATGAAATCTATTTAGTCCTGTTATTTGCCTGCACTTTTTCTCTATGCATCCAAGTGGATATAGTAATGAACTCACTTTTATCAATTACAGTATTCATAGTGTTCATAAGAAATAAGACGTTAATTAGGTCATAGGGAAAAGTCAGTATAAACTGACTTTAAAAGGTATATTGAAAGATATGGTAGATGTTATGTTTACAAAATCCCTAGAATAAATTTAATAAGGCATGTCCAACAGTTGTTTCTTAAAGTATATGCTAGTGCAAGCCAGAAGCATAGAGGTAATTCAACACAGCATGAACAATACTAACAGGAGCCACAGCAATGCAGGATAACTTTCCATAGCTCTTAATGATTGAGTTGAAGTCAAGGGCACGATGTAGACTGTCAACATACTTCCAGAGAAGCGGGGGAAGTCTGTAATAAAATCATCTGACATGGACTTTAAGTAGTTTTCCATAAATATTGGTTAATACAAGTCAGGTTGTGATAAAGAACAGTAGAGTCTAAAGTTATACAAGACTCTGGGATGTACTGACACATGTACTTCATCCATAAACCCCATCAAGGGCTGTCAAGAATGAGTATCTGTTCTTTCATCCAGTCATAACAGTGGCAATAATGTTAATAAACAATTCAGCAAATTACTTCATGTTGCCCTATAGCTCAGGAATGACACTTGATGATCTTTCTTTCTCTGTAGCAAATGACTTAAAATATTCTTATTCAGACAGAAGAAGTAATCATATATGCCCTACCTAACATGAGCAAGTTTTTACCATCACATAAACAGCTACAGATGAAGAATAAAAGGATAACCAATTCTAAAGGACTGCCATTATCTACCATACCCTAAAATATTGGATAAATTGAGAATGAAATTGTATTATGAATTTTTATTAATAGCATAGTGAAAGGATGAACTATTTTCAAAATCTTGGATGTTAAAAAGAATAGTTTTAGGCAGCAGCTTCCGCTGTTAGCTTATTGGTGGCTGTGGTAACAGGCTCCTGCATAGCACTGAGCCTCCTAGAATCTTCCTCCAGTTAATTTCCTGTGGGTGACGATCACTCCTGAGCCAACACCAGCACATTTTAACTTCTTCAGGAGCAGCCATCATGACATGGAAAACTAACTGCTTTTTTAAAGGATGTTTTCACAGATACCTGTTGAAATCAGATAGATTCATGTCAAATAAGTTAGGTCCCAAATTCGTTTTTTTAGCAGCATTGATTTGAAACTGTCAGTTATGATAGAGTAATATCTACTTAAAGTTGATTAAGAGAATATTTATTCCTTGTCGGTGTCAACTTAAAGGATTTCCCCTGAACCTTTATATTTATATTGCAATGTAAGAAACAAATGCTAGTACTGTGTCAAAAGCTATTGCCATTCCAATGAATATCATCAATATTTCCTTCAACAATATGGGAGGTTCTCTTTTGATTTTTATTTCATATATTTTCTTTTGTTTTGTCTAAGGAATTTCATTTCATATCTCAGGCAAAGATAATAAAACCATTTTTCACCATAAAGAGTTTAAATGTTTCTATTTTCATTTTGCTTTTTATTCATTTAAGCCTTATGTGTTGTTGTCATTTGGCATTATAACAGTGGAATATTGTCTATAGGTGATCTCCACATTCTAGCATAAAGATTAGTCCTTTTATGAGATGGAGAAATGAGGGATTCTGAATTTTTGTCGTTTAATCAGGCAGTATGCAAACGTCTTTTATGAGCCAAGCACTGCATTACTGGGGTATGGTAATGAATAAGACAGACACAGTTTATACCCTCAAGCAGCTTATACTGCATCAGAGAAGAGGTACATTAAGCAAATGGTTTTCAATAACTAAACACATTATTTCAAATGTAGAAAAGGCTTTAGATAACTACTTGGTTATAGGTAGGTTGGGAAGTACTAATATTTCTTTGTGTGATTTCTGGACACTGCATTTTTATCCTAATGAGGCCTGTAATACTTACTTAGGTCTGTGTGGTGTTTGTGATGGGGATGGAGAATAAGGGATGAGAAAGTGTGAAAAGACACGTGCAGAATGTTCTGGGAATGAGATTTAATAAAACACAGCTCTTGATAATGTATCAAGTGAAACTGCCCTGTTACTTCGCCTTGGAAATGTATGATGAGACCCTGTTTCCTCAATTCAGTTAGCATGGGTTGAATACCTACATAGTATCAGAAACTCTGTAATACAACAAAGATTGAAACAGCTTTACTTTTCTGAGAACTTATTTTAAATAAGTCAAAGAATCACAAAATTTTAATATGATATGGCAGTGCTC
The DNA here is from genome assembly GCF_000001405.40 of Homo sapiens. NCBI lineage: Eukaryota > Metazoa > Chordata > Mammalia > Primates > Hominidae > Homo > Homo sapiens. Next base: position 92,835,112 of record NC_000004.12, read on the forward strand.
AATGGAAAGTAAAATTTACTGTAAGGAGACAAAACAAGGGTTGAGAATAATAAAAAATACAACAAGCAGCTGAAAGAGGTAAAAAAAAAAAAGGTAACAAATGAAGATGAGGTTGAGGGTAGGGAAAGTATCTCAAAGTGTCAAAACAAAGGTAGGAAGGAGGAAGATAATCTAAGCATTCTATGCATACATTAATTATTTTTGGAGGCTGCATAAGAGAATGAAGACATTGAATAATAAAGTCAGATAAGCTAAAAGTAGCTAGCAGTAGGTAGAGAGGCATGTAAGAATATTATAAAAATGTTTATAATTGTTTATATTATCTGTCTATCTAGTACAGAGGAAGTTCTGGTTCAGGAAATTCTACAGATAATGCTTATGCTGTTTCTCATACGTATGAGGCTGTACATTAGTTTTACCTACTGCCTTCTACATCAGAATTGCATGAGGTCCTGTTGACAAGGCAGATTTCATAGGCTGTAGCCTAATGCCAGACATAAGAAGAATTTTTAAAATGGGACCACCCCCCATGCCAGTTCTTACCCCCAGGTGATTCTGAAGCCACTAACATTTGAGAATAATTAGATAAAAGCCTGTGACAATTTCCTTCCCTACATTTCCTAAAATTTACATACACAAATGTATGCATACATATAAACCTTAAAAAATTGTTTTAATGGTAATGAGTGTATACACTCCCCTCCACACTTCGTATTGTCTTTCACTTTGTCCATATAACAGGAATCCCAATATATTGTGTCCAAATTTCCCTCTAGACAACTCCTTGACAGCAGATCACAGGCTTAATTTGATTGTGGAATACTTCTACGGTAGTTTCTGTATTTCTTGGTGTCAGAGACCCTTTATATTCTTAAAAAATATTGAGAACCAAAAGAGCTTTCATTTATATCAGAGGTCAGCAAACTGTAGCCTGCAAGTCAAATACAACCAGTATCTTCTTTTTGTAAATAGCTTTTTTTGGAACAGAGCTACTGCCATTTATTTTTGTATCATCTATAGCTGTTTTCTCACTGTAACGACAGAGTTGAGTAGTGACAGAGATCATACGGTTGGCCAAGCCTAAACTATTTACAATCTTGTCCTTTACAGAAAATGTTTGCTGGCTTCTGGTGTATGTGGATTATAGCTATTGATTTTTAGCACAGTGGAAACTAAAGCTGAAAAATTAAAATCAAGAAATATACTAGCACACATTCCATTAGCCATCAGAGCTAATGTTCAAAACTCCACTGTATAATCATGAATGAGAATGAAAAAGGCAAATAGCATCTTAGTATTATTAAGAAAATAGTTTTGACCTCATATGACAAGCTGAATGGATTTGATGAACACAGTTTGGGAACCACTTGGATGGTACATGGCAAATAGCAGCCGCTTAATACATATTTGAATGAATAAGTACTAACCAAAAAAAAACAGAAAATATTTGCATTGTTATATATTACAGTTTACAAATAATTTTCATGTCCATTTCTACTTTAGGAAAATGTAAGGAGGCAGAAATATCAAGGAAAAGGATTTTGGTGTAGGAGATATTAGAGCATGTAGGCTGAGTAGAAAGACGGCCCTAGCCTAGTAAACAGAATTAAAGACACACACACACACATAAATGTTAATTTAAAATAGACCATATAAATGCACTTAATTGACTTAGTTTAGTATTTGGTAAACCACATAGACTACAAAATAGTCCCATAGTAAAGGAAATATAATGTAATAATCTAATAGGTGGGGGAATAGAAGAGGAATCTTTGAAACAGCAAAGCACAGATCTGCTTCAAAAGAAAATCGAAAATCTTCAAGCGAAGATTGCTTGAGGAAATTTTAAAATGGAAGACACAGGGTCATCAAAACACCAAGGGTTCAGTCTAGGTCCTGCTGCTGGCTGCACAGAAGGCCAATGACTGAGACTGTGAGAGTATTGCCAAGGAAGTGCTTCAGTCGAGGAGATGGGAGTTCAGTCTCAAATCCATCTCCCTGAATGACTAAAATTAGGAGTTTCTATAGCAGGGAAGAAATGTAGAAAGCAGGAACTCTGAATGGTAACGACACAATCCTGATGAACGAGGGGCCTGGTGTTTCATTGTCTGGATGAAATGATCTGCTGAGTTTCAGTTCTTTGATACTTTTTAAGAGGCCTGGGGATCCTTTCCTGAGAAAGGAACTCAAACAAATACAAGTTTCAAGCTTTAAGACCAGAAGGGTCCATTTCTATGTTTACCCAAGAACAAGTCTCCGTGAAACTATTGGGTCCGTTTCAACACTACCTTCAAAAAAATTGGGGAAAACTGTATTCAGTGTGTAATTCCACTCTAGACATAGCCTGTATTTGTACCCTTCAGGTTAAAAAAAAAAAAAAAGGCCATGTACATTTTTACTCATCAAATGTAACCTTGAAAAAATATTCAGTGGTTAAAATTTTATGTTCTGAATTTCTGTCTAAATAAGATGAAAAATATGAAATTCCAAGAAAAAATGTTTTTGGTGTTCAGAAATGGCCAAAGGTATTTCAACACTTCTTTTATAATCAGAAGTTAATTTGAGAAGGGGTGTGGCATACTAATATACTATTATACTGTACCTTTCCATGTTTTACTTGGTAAAAAGTAATTGGATTTGGACTAGGATCTATTTATTCTCATCACATATTTAATTGCACGCAAATACATGCTCTATCATAAATTAACAACAACCTAATTGTGGTTAAACAATGTATGATTTATGTTTGAGCCGCGAATTCAAGTCCTTGTTCAAAGTCTTTATGGCAAATGTCTCCTTTTACATATGTCACTTGACTATAAGCTTTATTCCTAGGAGAGATATCTAAGTGCTACACAGTAACCAAGCATTCAATTAAAATAATGTTTTAAAAAAATGAGATCAGCAATTATGAACCTAAACTCATCTAGAAACAATTTGTTCTATTACATTATCGAAAACAAATGCAAACAAACTTCAGAAAGCCATGGTGTTTTACCTCCTTCAATATTATATTGACATTATTTGCACAGCAGGATTAGAAAGTAATCCCTGTGGAGATATTAAGAAAATCATTTATTTTTCTGTTAGATACACAAATGGGTGACTGTGTATTATACAATACATAATGGCTTTTAACTGGGAGACATAAAAATTGAATATCACTACCATGTGTGACATGTGAATTTTGATATAATATTTATAAATATTTTAGTAGTTACCATTTACCAGATGGGAGTGATGTGTGTCTTTGTGAGCATGAAACATCTTTTTTATGATAATAGTCTACACTTGAGATAATTGATTCTGATTTTGCAATATGGATGCAAGTTCTCTGTACTATATACAGTATTCCTAGCTTTTAGCAAATCAAATAATCCCAAACATAAATACACATCAAGATGAATGTTAGTAATCCATTTGACTAATGAATATTAAATTGAAATGTTTTACCTCTGTGTCTGCTATAATTTGAAACCAAAAGGCTGAACAAGCTTGCATGTACATTTCTATTATCAAATGTAACCTTGAAAAAATAACTTTAATATTTTAACATGGAGAAAATGACATGGAAGCCCATGTTCTATTAGACATAAAGCATTAGACTGTTACTGTCTATATGAAGGTGGTAAACTAACATTCCTCCATATTTTGTAATCTGGAAGAAATACCTGCTCAATCTCTGTTAGGAGGTGAGCAGGGAACTTTAGCCCCAATTTTCTTTATCCTTTTAGGATCATTTCCTCTCCTCTCAGATCTCTATTACCTCTATCATCACCTTTCTGAAATGCTATGGATTTATTTAAAGTTACTTAGACTAGTCTTTATGTGAGTTCTATAGTTGCCACGAGCAACAATACAAATAAAACATTACAGGGTCACTCTTTCCTTTTCTACTGATTAACACAATGGATTATCTGGCCAGCGTCCTGCTTATGAATTGGTGTGTCTGAGAATGCTATGGCAGTGATTTTATAAGTCTTTCAAGCGAGCATGTGTAATTTTAGCATTTCTTGATGCATCCTTGAAGAACTGCTCTTTGGTGCTTTCAATCATTTTAATGAGGTATCTTAGTTTGATTTACAAATTTGGTAAACATGACTTGGTGTTGTTATGTTTAGACTTTGGTTCTTATTTCATACTGTGTGTTGTAAGAGTTCTTTTTTTTTTTAATACTTTATGTTTTAGGGTACATGTGCACAATGTGCCAGTTAGTTACTTATGTATACATGTGCCATGTTGGTGTGCTGCACCCATTAACTCGTCATTTGGCATTAGGTATATCTCCTAATGCTATCCCTCCCCCCTCCCCCCACCACACAACAGTCCCCAGAGTGTGATGTTCCCCTTCCTGTGTCCGCGTGTTCTCATTGTTTTTAAAATTAATGTTTTTAAAATTAAAAAGTTTTCTTTAAAAACTTTTTAAAGAAAAGTTTTTAAAATTTTCTTTTAAATTTCTTCTTCAATCCAGTGGTCATTCAAGAGCATATTGTTTAATTTCCATGTGTTTGTATAGTTTCCAAAATTCCTCTTGATATTTACTTCTATTTTTATTCCATTGTAGTCAGAGAAGATGCTTGATATTATTTTAATATTTTTGACCGTCTTGAGACTTGTGACCTAAAATCTAGTCTATTCTTTGAGAATGATCTGTGTGCTGAGGAAAAGAATGTGTATTCTGTATCTCTTGGATAAAGTGGCCTGTAAATATCTATTAGATCCATTTGGTCTATCGTACAGATTAAGTCTGAGGTTTCTTTGTTATTTTTGTGTCTGAAAGATCTGTTCAATGCTGAAAGTGGGGTGTTGAATTCTCCAGCTGTTACTGTATTGGGACCTATCTCTCTCTTTAGCTCTAATAATATTTCTGTTATATATCTGGGCACTCCACTGTTGAGTGTACATATATTTAAAACTTGTTATATCCTCCTGCTGAATTGACCCCTTTATCATTATATAGTTACCTTCTTTGTCTCTTCTTATAGGTTTTGTCTTGAAATGTATTTTTACAATATAAGTATAGTGACTCCTGCTTATATTTCCATTGCTATGAAATATATATTTTTTCATACTTTTATTTCCAGTCTATGTGTGTCTTTACAGGTAAAGTGTGTCTCTTGTATTCAACAGATGCAGATCGATCTTGTTTTTTCATCCATTCAACCAGTCTCAGTTTTTTTAATAGGGAAATTTAGTTCATTTACATTCAATATTATTATTGACAAGTAAGAGCTTAACTCCTGCCATTTTTTTAAATTTGTTTTCTGTTTGTCTTGTAGTCTTCTCTTCCTTCTTTCTTTTCTCCCCTTCTTCCTCTACTGAAAGTGATTTTCTATGGTGATATGATTTAGTGTCTTTTTTTTTAAACATAGGGAGTTTATTCAGTCCTCAATTATTCCCAAACTCCAGATGAACTGTCTTTTTGAAACTCAGTTACTTACATTAATTCTTCATAATTAGTACCAAAAGCAAAAATGTTGCTTCAAGAAATTCTACGTGAAAATGTATAATCTTGTTTCTTGGGGCATTTTGTATCCTAAAAGCTTTCATTGAGCAGCTTCTTCATTGAGCATATATGTCCTTCCTTCTTCTATGCTACAAAGCCAAATAGTTTATACTGAAAACATACTTAGCCTTGCCCTCACCAGTAGTATCTTTCCAAGTTCAAAATCAAAGGAATAGTTCAAAGAAATATTTGAAGCTCTCTTGCTTCAACTGCAATATTCACATATTGAAAATAGCAATAAATGTAGTATTTTTGTTTCTCTTGGTACTCTGTTTCTCTGTTTCAGTAACTAAATGGGTTAATTCTGCTTGCTAAAAGGCCTCAGATTCTTTTCTTCTTAATAACTATTCCAAATGGAGAATGAACACTGAAACAACTGCTTTCCCAACTTATCTTGATTCCAAGATCTGCTCTGGTCTCATCAAGAAGATTTAGGATATGGATGGTTTATGTGAGTTGACTCAGAGACAGATTATGATCTTCCTAGTAACTCCTCTCCTCATTTAATCTAGGCTGTACTAGTAATTGCTTTCACCACATAATAGAACAAGTTAATTGCAAAATTTTGCTTCCACAGGAACTGTCAGGTAAAATTCACTGATTTAAAGCCAGCTGAAATCTTTTTGTCAGAAATGTACTCACTTTTTTCTCAAAACATTTAAATTGTTTAAATTTACCAAATATATATTTTTTCAACAAGTACCATACATTTTCCAGAAATAACAAGATAGTTTATGACCTGTATCATCTTTCCACAGTTATAATTTTACATATGCAGAAGTCGGGGTTACAAGCTTATTTGAGGAGCTATTTATGTCTTTCAATGTGCTTCTAATATTATTAGATTGTTTTATTTCCAGACCACAAGACTCATTACTATTTATTCCATATTTAGATGATGATTAGTTTATAAGAATCTAAATATCAGTTAATATTAGTTTCGCTAGAAAAAGTTTAACATTCCAGATGCAGTCCTTTTTCCTACAAACAGGTGCAGCATTACAAGTAAGCTGCATTTAGATGCATGCTCTCCAGTTCTCTGTGGCAATGTAGGCCAAGTGAAGCCAGAAAAATTATTGCCCAAGGGGAAACATTTGTACTTCTCACTTCATTTTGCTACCTTATCACTAACAATATGGTATTCAAACAAACACATATATTTATATTTATAGCTTAATTTTTTTTTTCCTTTAGCAATTCTGACAGCTTTGAGTTCTCCTCTTGAGGGAATACATAGGAATATCATCTCTAATTTTATTTTCTTTTTAACTTATTGCATTTATACCAGCTAAGGACTGTGAAGACAAGGTGAAAGTGTAAATAGGCAGGGCTGCAGTAAAATGAATAAGGCTCCTTAACTGGCCTTAATGCAATGCTTCTGGAGAAGTTACTACCAAATTGCAGTGTTTGCAACTTTACAAAACCCCTTAGGAAAAATCTAGGTGTCATCTCTCTAAATACGATGGTTAGATTTTTAAGAATGCTGCATGATGCTATGCTTGTAAATTCATTATAGTGATGTAGCCCAGACTCTCTCTAGGGATCATTAAACAGCATGCATTAGGGTTTTGGTGCTACTGTACACAATTTCTAAACCTGCTATTCCATAAGTTATTTGTTTTACTTGAAAGGACTTATGGTATCTGTGACCACAAAATATTTGAAGCATAGTGATTACAAAGCAGAGACGGCATGCCTGCAATGCTCACCATCTACTATAGGAGAGAACAAAAACCAAGAAAGCAGTTTTTCCTACAATGTGGTAGTTATTTACATCATTAATAAATAACATTTACTGGATGTTGAACTCATCTATCTTAGTTGTATATGAGGAAATTTCATATGCTTACTGAAAAGGGAAAGTTTATATTTTGTGTTATTCTATTATTTAGAAATGTTTCTAAAATTTGGGAAGATAAAGTAATATAATTCGTTCACAACAACCACTCAGTAATGTAGGTCAAAGTGTACATCTCCTTTTAGATAGTAGGCAGCTTGGCAGGTGCTGAGAAATAGTATTTTTTCTCCTTGCCTAGAAGAGCCATCTAGAAGCAAATGTGATCTACATGGAAAGGCAAGATAAAGATAAGACTTAGAAGAAAAAGATGAAAAACAAAAAAAGTGGGATTACAGGCATGAGCCACCATGCCAGGCCTAATCTTTACTTGGAAGAATGACTGACAGAAAAACAGATCATTTAGATATGAGTATCTAAAGATCTGAGAGAGCAGATATCAAACATCAGGTGTGGTAAGAAATGTGGTAGAGGCAGGCATTTAGGGGATGTGTATTAGAAAAGATGAGGCTGTAGATAAGAAGTCAAAACCAAAAAGAATTAAAGCCAGGCATGGTGTTTTACACCGGTAATGTAAGCACTTTGGCAGGCCAAGGCTGGAGGATCATTTGAGCCCAGGAGTTTGAGACAAGCCTAGGCAATATAATAAGACCCCATATATACAAAAAATAAAAATAAAAAATACCCAGGAGGGGTAACACATACCTGTAGTCCCAGCTACTTGGAAGCTGAGGTGGGAGAATCGCTTGAACCAGGGAGGTAGAGGGTGAAATAAGCTGTGATTGCACCACTGCACTCCAGCCTGGGCGACAGAGTAAGACTCTGTCTCCGAAAAAAAATAAAATAATAAAATAAAAACAAGTCAAGAAGCTGAATATAAAATCAGGTAAAGCAGAAGTTCATAAATTCAGCCATCAACAACACAAGGTCTAATTCTTAAACCTCATTTTGAATTCAAGAACTCCTTTCACTTAGAAAATTAGTGTGGGCCCTGTAGAACTTTGGTTTTTATGAGCTATACTTATTGATGTCTGCTGTATCTGAAATTTAATCTTAGAAAATGTGAAAATATGTTATTACTTAAAATGGTAATATTAAATTATAAACCTGTTGCATGGTAACATAACATTTTCATGAGGAATAACTATATTTTTCAAAATAAATACAATATCATGAGAAGATACTGCTTTACCCTTATACAAATCTATTTTATGTTATCTTATTAGAAGATTCTGCATCCAATGTATTTCAGTACTTGGTTTCTGTTGAACGACTTGAGGAAAATTTAGTGTCACAAAGATGTGTAGTTGGAAAGGGAGGATTTTTTACAATAACCTTCAAATATTTATAAATATCTTCTTTGATACTATACCAAATTCAACAAGTAGTTTAAGTTTTAGTTGCAATGTAGAATCTGAAATCATATCAACAAACTTTTCACTTTACTAAATTAAAATCCGTAGGTCTACTGTGCTCTTTGAATGCATATTTACTCATGAATGATTTTGTAACAATGCATTCGTCATTTGGAAAATGCTGGTTCACTGAATATTGCAGATCTTGAAAATGCTGACGTAGTTTATTATATAATATCAAATCCCATTGATTAATATCACCACTGATTTAATAAAAAAACTTTATTGATAATCTATTAAGTTGACTGTGGTAGATAAATTTTTCAAATTCTATTTTTGCTTGAAATTTTGAAATTTATTAAATTCAACAAGGAGTATAATTCCGTTTTCCTTGAATTAACAAGCTTAACTCATTTTTGAGAAAAATCTGTCAGATACTCAAATCTAGATTACTAGTTTTTCTGTCAGTCATTCTTCCAAGTAAAGATTAGGCCAGGTGCGGTGGCTCACACCTGTAATCCCAGCATTTTGGAGGCCAAGACGGGTGGATTATTGGAGGTCAGGAGTTTGAGACCAGCCTGAACCACATGGTGAAACCCCGTCTCTGCTAAAAATACAAAAAATTAGCCAAGCGTGGTGGCAGGCGACGTAATCCCAGTTACTCAGGAGGCTGAGGCAGGAGAATAACTTGAACCTGGGAAGAGGAGGTTGCAGTGAGCCAAGATCATGCCACTGCACTCCAACCTGGGCGACAGAGTGAGACTCTGTCTCTAATCATCATCATCATCATCCACCTTTAAATACCTATATGTGAATGGGAACAGTATGATCAGGATTGATTGTAGCCTTTCTTGTGTCATGTCCTACATAGCAAATGATGAAAATTTCAGATTGTGCCACTGCACTCCAGCCTGTGCAACAGAGCAAGACTCTGTCTCAAAAAAAAAAAAAAAGAAAGAAAAAAAAAAGATTGAATTTGATGAAGAAATCTGGCTAGACCAGCTCACATTCCCAAACAATCACACAAGATGTCTATGCCTCCTTCTCATTTTGTCACATAGCGTAGTATTAAAAAGCTATTCTCAAGGGTTAATGCTTTTTTAAAAAGTATCTTTTTTACTGCTTTAATAAGGACATTCTTAATGAAACTGGATTTATGCATTTGTCTATTTACTTGTATAATAATAAATTTGTGGCTGTTGAGCACTAACTAGTACAGTCCAGTGCCATGGCCTTGATTAGGATTAAAGCACCAATAGTTTTACTGATCATTGCTCTAATGACATCAGTACAAATGTGCGGACAAGGAGGATAATAATATCTCAGATAATATTGTGAAAATAGTCCTGACTTGATGGTCCCCTGAAAGGTCTTGAAGACTCCCAGGGACCACATACCACACCCTGAAAACCACTGGAATAGAGGCACTTTGATTGATTTTTCTAAATGCCATGTCTTGAAACTCTTTTTATTCTCTTGGTTTATTTTTTGGTTTGTTTTTGATGCTCATATTCATACAGAGCAGAAGCAGTAGCCCTGTAACAATTTCCTGTCTTTACTTTTTGAGTTCCTTAAGATATAGCATTAAATTGAGTTTTAAGTTGCTCTTTCATTCATGAAATATCTGTAGAGGGCTTACCATGTCCTGTGCATTGTTTTAGAAACTTGACAACACCTCTTTGTAAACATTATTGTTGACATTGGAGTGGGAGTTATCTCCCTACTTTTTATTCCTTTTGGACATGTAGATGGGGTACCTGACCAAAAATAAAAATTTTAAAAAAACATAGTAAATATACCATCCTGCTCTCTGCCCTCCTCCACCCTTCTCAATCTCCTTTACCTCCTTTTACACTCCCTACGAGTCCAATGGATATCAGGTGCACACCTGGCAGCAACCACACAATTGAGAAGCAATTTTGTTGTTGTTGCATGCATTTTTCTTTAGAGATAATCCCTTTGACTATCATCCTAGACCTCTTTATATTCTTCCAAGAAACTCGCTTCATCATTTGGTTTTCAGCATGTATTTGTTTCACATATACAAGCTTTGCTCTAGTGTGTAGTAATTTAAGGAATGCATTTTTATTCTGTTAATCTGTTCCATAATTATGATATTCGACAATGTCTCTTCCATTTTATGGTCATAGCCCTTCTTTCTGAACCCTGTTTGATCTATTTTTCCACCTGGCTCTTCATTTCTAGCCCCAACCTCAAAGCTATTTAGGTTTTTTACCTCCATTTTTGTCACTAGAGAAATCTATCTCTTCTTAAACTGTTAAATTCATGACTTCTTAATATCTAGTTAAAATTACAGATTTCATAGCCACCTCCTTCTCCAAGTTGGCCTTTATTCCCTGGGATGATGTGTCTAGCTTTCGTCTTCATTTCTGTTTATAATTTCACCTTTTATTTTAGGTTCAGGGGCTACATATGCAGGTTTGTTACATGGTATATCGTGTGATGCTGAACTTTGGAGTACAGATGATCCCACCATCCTGGTACTGAGTATATAGTACCTAATAGGTATTTTTTGAGTCTTTGGCCCCCTTCATCTCTCCTCCCTCTGGCAGTCCCCAGTATGTATTGTACTCATCTTTATGTCTATGTGTACCCAGTGTTTAGCTCCCTTTTGTAAGTGAGAACATGAAGTATTTGGTTTTCTGTTCCTGCATTAATTTGCTAGGATAATGGTCTCCCACTGCATTCATGTTGCTACAAAGACATAATTTTTTATAGCTATGTAATATCCCTTTGCTTACAGCTTGATCTCTTCAGACCTTGCTTTTAGTTGCTTATCAGGTCTTCCCCTTTGGTTTAGATTCCTACATTCTTGGACTCCTGTGCTCCTCTCTCTACCTTTGTTTTGTCTAATCCACCTGCATTCCCACTGTCCACCTCACGTATTCATAATTCCCCTTTCTGGGAAGATGAAGTGACGTGAATTCTTTACTCACCCTTCCAGCTTAGATTGCACTCCAGTTTAAATATTTCAGTCAGCTCTCCACACAAAAAATACTTGAAACAAAGAGAGCTCATTTTTATTGTGTGCCTTACATGTATTTAGTCATTACAGTAACCCAAGATGTAGGCGCTATGCTATTTACAAAGGAGGAAACTCAGTCATAGAAAGATTCCCATGTTCCCATTGATGAGCCCTGAATCCTAAGGAGACAATCTGTCTTCAAAGCCAGCACTTTTTGTTAACACAATAGAGCCTCCCACCAGTGGTATCCTTTTAAACATTTAAAATGTAAAGATACCACTTTTCCATTTTCTCTCACTATGATCCTGACTTTTTATGTCACAAGTCAATCCATGGCCATTTTAAGAAATGGAATATGTTGCTAAACATATGGAAACTCTTTCTGCTTGGCTGACAGCTGAGACTTTAGCCATTGTCAGTGTTGCAAATAGACAACCTCTTCCTTTTCTAATTATGCTGCTGCTTCCTTTGGAGCCTTGCCTAAATTTTTGCTGAAGCATTAGGTAGACACAACCAGGTCAAACTGCAGAATCTCAACCCCCAGCACTTCTGCTCCTGGCATTTTCCCATGGCTCAGTCTTTCACAAATACTCTAAGAATGGCAGATCTCTGTGACAGTTTTTTCTTGGGCTTCTTTGCCATAAGCACTCAATAGCTGCTACATGATTTAAGTTATATCTCGCTGGCCTCTCTATCACTGTCTTTCTCTTCCTTTCCTGCTCTTTAATATTTTAAAATCCCCTTCTCCTAGGCTGCATTTGTGCCTTCAAATAATAAATATGAATTTCTTTAAAATAACAAAATGTCTATTTTGATAACATAAAGAGATGTCTTCTACTTCAGATCTCTGTAATTTTAATATAGCTTTATTCTTACATACACAGCTATACTGATGAATTTGTTCCCATTAATTTTATAATGACATATATTCCATTCCATACTTAGTCTAGTGTCATAAATAATTATTTCCCAAGGAATGTTTATTTTATGGAATGGAATCAAATAAAATAATCTGTTTCATGACACAGGACAGTTAAGTGGCAAACGAACAAATCGTGTTCCATTTACTTTCTTTTTTAAAAATAAAGTATACTAAAATACTTATATAATAATGATATATATGTTTTTATTCAGTAGACAGTATTAGCTTCCTGTGCATTTGTGCATTCAGTGTATATGTATATAATAGATATATGCCTTTAGAAAGGATTTTCTTATCTCCATGTCAACAGTCAAAGGACAAGGTAATAAGTAATCAAATCCCATCACTTTACACTTATCTTACTAGATTTTGCTATTGAAGTAATTTACATCTATATTGTGTCTGAATGGTGAAAATAATGGTATGTTACTGTGCATCTCTTCCATTTCCACAGTCATTGATGTAACACAAACAGCTCGAAATCAGTCTTTTTGGAAGTGTTCACACCACAGAAATCAACAAACACAATCACACATTCAGGGATTTTTTTTTTTTTTTCACAGAGATCTAGTTGCTAATTATTTACCAGCACTCAACTAGTTTTAGGCTTGACTTAATGTAGAGACACAAGTTAGGCTTTCAATTCTCTCCTTTCTCTACTGCCTTCCCTTCCTGCCTTGCTTCCTCTACACATCTCTTTCTCTCTTCACTCCTCTTCTCTATCTCAATTCATTATTGTTTCTACTCCATATGTATGTGTACCTTATTCCCTCCTGCTAAAGAAAGGCTTTCTCTATGGGGTGAGAGAAATGGAAGCAACAAACGATCATCATGAAATAGAGTTCCATGACCTGAAAACTTCTTCAACTCCATTTTGCAAAGTGCAAATCGGAGGCCTTGGAGTGGCCTTTGATTGTTCTAATACCCACACCTGGAACAATGCCTATTGTCAAGTTAATGGGTAACTAGATTGATGAGTCTACATCATTACCACCTGAGAATTTAATGAAGCGGGCTACGGGGATCTGGAGTCACACCAGAATGACTCTATTTTGGAGATAGGGTCTTTAAAGAGGAGATTAAGTTTAAATGACACAGTTAAGGTAGGCCTAATCTAATCTGACTGGTGGTCTTTATAAGAAGAGAAAATGTAGACACATATAGAGACACCAGGGGTGTAGCTGGGTATAAGGAAGTCCATGTGAGGACACTGTGAGGGAGTGGACATCTGCAAGCCAAAGAGAGAGGTCTTAGAAGTAACTAAACTCCTGACACCTTGATTTGTATTTTTAGCCTCCAAACTGTGGGAATTAAATTTCTGTTATCTAAGCCACTCAGTGTGTATACTCTGTTATAAGAGGCTTAATAAACTAATACACTTGCATTAGCTTTCCAGGGTATAGAGGGCTATAAGTATCCTGTATATGCCGCCTACCATCACCATGCCATTTACCCCAGCACTGAATTGAAACTGGATGATGTCAATTGATGATGATGAAAAAGAGGTGTTTCTGAGTTTGTATTAGGATGAGATATCAAGCTTGAAAGCATCTTGAGTACTATAATTTACCTATCAGATAGGATACATCAGCAGATGCATTTTTCCTTAGTACTTGCCTTTATCTGCAGGGCCTGGTTTCTCTTCTGGGAGATGGTGGAATGTATTCTTTGACTTGGGGATTTATAACAGTTGGTACAGAATTCTGCCTGGAATGCACTCTATTTCTAAGGAAGGAAGTTTGAGACCATGCAATGAGTTAGGGAGTGGGAAGAAGCAGTTGTCAAAGGCAGGTAAAAGGCATGACTTGGCTAAAATATGGAGAAAAACATATCCTATAACAAAATAGTAATTTTAATAATTTAAACAGTTGTGCTTTTCTTTGATAGTTACCTCACATTGTCAGCTTCTAGAAACATTCTCATCTGCTTACCCCTTCAACTCCATTTTTCAACTTATAACATCTTTTCTTTTAGCTTATTAAGCAATCTTTATTATAGTCTAAAAATCACTTATATTTACTTTGATATTACCAAGACATTATAATCTCTACCTTAATTTATTATTTATTATGTAAGATTGGCTTCTAATATGAGGCTAGATGATTATTTCAATGGCATAAAGAACCAAGACTTTTTACAATAATTTGTACTTATTTTCCTTGTTTCATTGCTATGATTTTTAATGATTGAAATTTCCAGAAATCTACTTTATCATGGGTTATTACAGTAAATTTAATTGCAAGAAGTAATAAAGCAATTAAAGATTATAATATATTTTATAGCTTTCTACTTGAGAAGACAGAATTAATCACATGATATGCCACAAATTTAAATATCTTTAAAACAATTATATTTATGGTTCTCAGAACATTGTGTGTTTTTCAAAAATGCATGTTTTATATTTCATACAAATATTCAAAGTTCACTAATACTATTGAACTATTAAAAGATCTACAAAGTTTATCAGCACTAAGAAATCATTGTTTTTCTAGTAATATATATTGATATGTTTATAGATAAATACAATATATAATTATAAGTGAATCTACACTACATACTGGTTCTATTTAGATATACATTGAAATAAAATATTTTCATAATTCATATTGTATGTTATAATTATTCTCTGTTACACACCTGAACAAATATTCTTATAAAAATATGCATTGTTTCAGGTATTTTATTCATTGTAAAACTTTTTGTAAACAAATGTTACATATTTACCTCTTGGTGATAGTTGAACATTTTTCATGGATGTTAATAAACAATTTATTTTGGTAGTGAACACAAACAGGATTGATTGACATAGATATGGTTTTATTTGCAGTGTTCATACATAAACTTAGAAGATCACAGACATTCATTGTGAGTATTTTACAAACCCAGATTGTGTACTATGGTATCATGTTTATTTCTTACCCATATATTTTAGTATTTTTCCTCCTAAGGAGCTAGCCACTTTTAAGAAATTTCAAGAAAGGTGAATCTGAATTCCCAAATGATAGAAACAGTTCAGTTATTTTATTACAATATAGCAAGCTGCTGCAGATGTCAGTGACCAGTTAAAAAGGTTGAAATGTAGAGCTGTTGAATCGAGACCCACAATGACCCAAGAGCAATTTACTTCCTTCAGATGATTGGGATGTGTTCAAAAATACCATTTGAGCAATAAATTTCTGGATATCCAGAGACTTTAAGTGAGTCAGTTGTCTTTTGAAAATTCTTCATATAATGGCTTTATTTTAGGCACCAATAGGAAGGCATTAAAATCATTTCATTGCCACAGGTGTGTGCATATGCACATGAAAGTCAAACGGTGAGAGAGGAGAGGCAGCAAACATGATCATTTAATTATAGTCAAGTTTACTTTTAATTAGTATTACTGAAATATTTTTAATTTGCAGCTTATTAATCTATTGTTTCAATAGCAAATATCCTTAATTATTTCAAATCAGGCTTCATGATCATTTAATGCCATGTGATGGTAATATGTACTTGTGAATTACTGCTAGACCTAAAATATTAACAAATCAGCCAAATACTTTAAATAAAAATTTAGCAATTCAAAAGTGCTTGCTTATAAGAAAGTATGATTTTTTTACTCTTGATGGTAATAAGAATAAATAAATATGACATGGTAATTTGACCATTTCTATCTCACCAGAAAAACATTTCTATTAAAGCAATGAGGCAAAGGCAAATACAGCTCATTCAAAATGCATAGTAAATCATTGAGAGGGTTCAGTTTATATTTCATTGTAGTTATTTCTTATCAGGATTACAGAATTTTTAGAGTAATCTAGTCTTCAATTTAATAAAACATATAATAGCTTTGAATAGTTTTTCCTTCTTCTACATAATCAGATATTAAGAATCTCAAAAATGTAATTAAGAGATAATTATGTAGGTAATGTTTAACATGCAAAAGAGGCATATCAAACATTAGTATATCTAAATTTCAGTTAAAGAAAAGTTGTGATGCATAGCACTTAAAACACTTGTTCAACTTTGTAATGAATCAGTAGTACAGGTAAAACAAGGACCAAACTCTAAATGCCATGCTTTCCATTATTATAGGTCATAGGAGTACATAATATTGCCTAGTGAGGCCAAAGTAACACCTAAGTTCCTGCCTACAGAGAAAGTATGTGAAAAAGTGGGTGAACTTTGTAACGGTCATTCACAAAACAGGAATGAATCAAAAAATATGTACTTTCTTTGCAAAAGAATGCAGAAAGACTCCTGAGACCACCTAAAAAATTGCAAGAAATCAATTCGTAAATATTTAGAGTCCTTTTGTTAAGAAATTTGTAAAGAGTGGTAATTATATAATTAGGTCTGTGCAGAAGGGGAAGAAGCAGGCCTTTGGTCACAAATTTAAGTTGCATTAAAAACATTATTAAAGTATTCATTACAGGCACAATGATAGGCAAATTAAAGACAATCTCGGGTAAGAGATGAACACTTGTGTTTTCTCTGTATGTGGAGGGGGGTGTATTTGTGGCATTTAAGGCAGGATAGAGATGTGTAAGGGAGGTATTTGTCTATAAAAAATCATGTTCTATTTTACTAGGAATTCCTCATCTTTACCTTTTTTTCTCAGCTGAATACATGCTCCAGCCAGTTCCAGTCTTTTCATCTGTACTGTCTCCTCTTTTCCCTTTCTGCCTCTTCCAGAAGACTGAATCATTAATAAACTTTCTGCATCTTCTTCCCTACTAGCTCCTTTCCCTCAGATAGGCTGAACTGTCTTCCACCTTAAAATAAACAACTCCACGCTGAAGGGAAACTCTTTCTTCAAATTTAAATTGCATGCTTCACTCCATTCACTTCAATTGTCTTAAAATATGTGTCCACTTTCACCCATTTCTGCTTCAGTGACCCCACTCTGAAGCTCTTTGATATAATTTCCTCATCATCAAATGCAATGATTTTTTTCCACAGTCCTTGTTATTAGTAAACTCTCCCAGGCCACAGATTCCATTAACCATGCCCTCCTTCTTGAAAGTCCCCATGTCCTGGGTTTCTACACCATTTTTCCTGTAGCTCCTCGTGGCGCACTCTTTGCTGTAACCACACTGGAATATTATGAAGAGCCACACTATTTCACACCTCTTTACCTCAGCACATACTCTTTCTTCTGCTAGGAACTTTCATTCTCCCATGTTATGCCTGAATTTTTACCCTTCCTTAAATTTTCAGCTTCATTGTTAATTATTTTGTGATTCTCCCTTATGCCTTCCTACCATGAACCCAGGAATAATCAATCATTCTTTCTGTTCTGCTGTAAATTCTTTGTATTTTAATATGCCAGTGTTTGCATTTTCTTATAATGTGCTTGGTCTGCTCTGCAAGGATATGAACTTCTTAGAAGCAGAGGCAAATCCTTGACATATAGCACAGACTTTGGAATCACATAGACCATGACTCAAGCCTTGTTGATCCACATTTAGCTGAGTGACTATGGACAAGTTGTTTCAGCTCACTAACCTTCAGGTCCCTTATCTGTAACACGACCATCACAAAGTATCAGAAGGATTAAATGATATAATATATGACTCAGGAAGTGCCAAAGTGGATTATTAAAGGAATGTCAAATAAATAATTGATTAAGACAATGAAACTCTAACATGGATATAAACACAATAAATGTTTGATAAATTTATATTGAATAAATAGATGAATTAATTAATGAGAGGTATTTCCTTTGTATGAAGATTTTTTGTTTTATCTTTTACACTGACTTTCTCCAATCTCATAGAAAATTTAAATCCTCACTGTCACTCCATTAAAATAGTATTCATATTTTTATTTCTGTCATGCTTATTTGAAATGACATTTTATCTCACCAGAATTTTGACTCCATAAAATAAAGACACATGACTTCCTTTTTTTATTTGCCAGAGCCTACCCTGACTCATAGTAGCTATTTAATATAATTTATATATTTCAATGGTAGCATTTTATTAAATTAGTTAAAATTATTTTTGAGTGAATTTAACTCTTACCTGTCAATAGTGGCTTAAAGAGCATATAAGTCTGATGAATTAACAGTGAATTTGGAAAAGAAAACCAAATACCAAATGGTCTTACTTGTAACTGGGAGCTAAACATTGAGTACACATGTACACAAACATGACAACAACAGACAATGTGGACTTCTAGAGGTTGGAGGGAGGGTTGAGGGAAAGGGTTGAAAAACTACACATCGGGTACCATGCCTGCTTCCTGGGTGATGATATCTGTGCACCAAACCTTAGCATCATGCAACATTCCCATGTAACAAACCTGCACATGTACCCCCATATCTAAAATCAATTTGAAATTAAAAAAAAAAAAAAGATGAGAACTGTGAACAGATCTGTGGTGCAATGACTCCAGAGTGCCAGAGGACCAAAATTCTTTTTTTCTTTCTTTCTTCATCATGTGGCTTCACCTTATCATCCCTAAATACAAGGGGTGGTCTGGGCTACAGACTTTATTTTGAGTAGCCATATGCAAAAACTCAAATTTGAGAGTAGAGAACTAGTAGTATGTGCTATAATTAAAATCACACAAAATGTTTGAATTAATGTGCTGTATTTCCCTCATGCTGAACAAGACATTTAATCCAATAGAAGACTTATTACTACTTTCTTACATTTAGGAGAAAACATATAACTGTCTTCTTTTTCCCTTCTCTGAATTCTGGGCTGAAAAGATCACTCCAGGGGCAGAGACATTTACTGAGAAAGCCATCAAAATATTTGCTTATCTGTGCTTGAGGAACATAGAGTGATATTCTTATACCACAATGAGAACAGCTAATTTAATTATACATGTTTCGAACACTGCAATTTCTGGAGAGAAGTTGTGATGTGTGTTTGTGTGAGTGAGGATGTGTGTGTGTGTGTGTGTGTGTCTGTGTTTTGAGGATACTTAGCCTTAAATTAGAATCTACGTAAACAAGATGATATGAAAGTCAGGAAAAGTAAACTTTAAATATATGTTTTAAAAAATTACACAATAGTAAAGTTTTACGAACAAGTGCAGGATAATATATTTCCAAATAAAGGTACACAAGTTTTCAAAATTTATCTCAATAAAAATGTATTATTAATGTAAATAATAAAAAAATTTAGAAAGGGGAAAATTTTTTAAATGAAGATTGAAAGTTTATAGTTTATAGAACAATGTCTTATTTTTGCCAATCTCTTTGCCATAATGAAATTGAGTATTCTGCTTAGCTCTTACTTCAAAATATCCATTTGGAAAGGAAATAATATTTTGTGTTTTCTACATCTGGTTTAAAGGATAAAAATTCAAATATAAATTATAGTCACCAAACTAGTTTTATTCAATAAAAGTTCTGGCATATCTGCTATTCCCACTTGGAAGCTATTCTTTATAAAAAGCCATTTTGAAACTATAACCATACAGAATTAATTGTAAGCCTTTTGGATGTCCCAAATCTAGCATTGTGAGACTACTTCTTACAGCTACCTAGTGACAGAATGACAAATGAATGTCCTATTCACTGTAGTGTAAAGATGACTGACTTAATGAGCTGTGTCCTACTTGTCAATTAAGTTTCTACCTCTGTATGTCACTTTAGAGATAAAGCAATTCCCTGAAACCACAGTATAAAGGAGAGAAAGATGTATATGGTACCTGTCTTTACCTTAAAGGCGAATAGTCCTGCACATCAGATAAAAAATTATTTGTTATTATTACTATATTTATTATTTATATATGCCATATGCATGTATATTGTCTACTAATAGATTCAATCACTTTAGATGACCATGGTTTCCCATGTTCTTTTTGTTATTTGATTCTGCATATGACATTGCTTACTTAATTCTAGTCATTCAAAATCTATCACTAATATTGTAATTCCATTTTCCAGAAATAAAACAAAATTCATATTCCAATATTGCAAATATACATACTATACACTAGTGTAATGGCCTTGGGAATATAGGTCAAAGGAAAGTGATAAGTTAATATAAATAGAAAAATAACCATTGTTGTTTATAGGATTTTTATTAAACTTAACACACACCTTTTTAGTCTTAAGAACTGATTACTTCATAAGTATAATATGAATTATTTTTATCTGGAGGTGAATTTCCTGACTAGAAATAAATACTATCTTAGAGATCAATGGAGTACAAGAAGGTATATAACATTAATATTTTTCTTTCTAATTTTAAATATAGGAAAGGTGAAATGATTGTTTTCACTCATTGTACAATGTTAACAGTCTACTTGAAGGTTGCATCATGTCACGCGATGTTTCAGGCTTTTTCCACTTGAAATATATTTACAATTACTAGGAAAAGCCTCACGCAAAAAAGATACTTTAAAACCATTACTGTAAAAAGTGGATGAGTCTTTCCTCCAAGCTGGAATTTTTTTCCAATTATCCTTAATTGGTTATCTGTATCTCTACTCCTGTGTTACTGGTTTATTTTTAAGACAGCTGGGTCTACAGAGAGATCCAGTTTCAAGAACTAAACAATAGATTTGATTCTTCCTTGTTCCTTGCTTTTTTCACCAACAATTTACACGACATATTTTTCTATTATCATATTTTCATTCCTGTCCTTCTTGTCCTCTGAATTTCTATACCCACTATCTAATATCAGGCCATTATTTACCAAAACTCCACCTCCCATTCCAGTCCCTTCGCTCCTTACCATTATGTTTGGTCTTTCCATTCTTAACAAGCAATATGCCTAAATTTAAACAGTATACTGAAAGCCTGGAGTTTATCCCTCTAATGGCAACTGCACCTTTGGAAAGCATAATAGGGTCAAAAATACAAGTAAATTTGTGTGTGTTTCTGTTGCATTTTTCAACACTTTTTTTCCAGAAGATAGTATGAAAATCATTATTGATAATCAGTTGCAATCAAACTATGAATTTACTTAAATAAGGCTGTACCATTAGATTTCACTTAAGGTTTTTCCACTGGAGTTTAAGTTAAAGGATATCACTGTTATGAAGCAAAAACTTCTCTCCTGTGAATATCTTACCTGATGCATTAGAGAAGTTATCCAAAATGTCAGCATTTTTCTTCAACATCTTGTACGTAGTTGGTTTTATGTACGGACATTGTTAACTTCTCACCATTGCAGGGATACCTTTAAGCATTTTGCTTTATGGCACTTCACAGATACCGAACTTTTTTTAAAAAATTGGAATCTTGTGGCAACCCTGCAGTGAGCAAGTCTGTCAGTACGTTTTAACAATGAACACGTGCTTACTTCATGTCTCTGTGTTATATTTTGGTAGTTCTCAGAATATTTCAAACATTTTCATTAGTATTATATATGTTAAAGGGATCTGTGATCAGTGATATTTGATACTGTTATAATTGTTTTGCAGTGCCATTAACCACGCCCATATGATAGCAAACTAAATCAATCAGTGTTGTCTGTGTTCTAACTGCTCCAGCAATGGATTGTTCCATTCCCCTCCCGCTCCTCAAGCCTTCCTATTTCTTGAGACAAAACAAGGTTGAAATTGGGCCAATTAACAATCCTACAATGATCTTTAAGTGTTGAAGTGAGAGGAAGAGTCATACATCTCTCACTTTTAATCAAAGGCTAGAAATAATTAAGCTTAGTGAGGAAAGAGTGTTGAAAGCCAAAATAGGCTGAAATCCAGGGCTCTTGCACCAGTTAGCAAAGTTGTGAATGTACAGGGTGTGTTGGTGTGTTCTTAAAGGAAATGAAAAGTGTTACTCCAGTGAACCCATGGATGATAAAAAAGCAAAAGTGCCTTGTTGCTGATATAGAGAAAGTTTTAGTGGTCTGGATAGAAGACCAAAGCAGCCACAGCATTTCTTTAAGTCAAAGCCCTAATGCAGAGCAAGTCCTTAACTCTTCAATTTTATGAATGTGAAAGAGGTAAGGAAGCTGCAGAAGAAAAGTTGGAAGCTAGCAGAGGTTGGCTCCTGAGGTTCACAGAAAGAAGTCATCTTCATAACATAAAACTTTAAGGTGAAGCAGGAAGTTTTCATGTAGAAGCTGCAGAATGTTATTGAGAAGATATAGCTAAGATCATTGATGAAGGTGGATATACCCAACAACAGATTTCCAATGTAGATAGGACAGCCTGATATTGGATAAACATGCTATCTAGGACTTTCATAAATCAAAGCCTGGCTTCAAACCTTCAAAGAACAGGCTGACTCTCTTGTTATGGGCTAATGAAGCTGTTGACTTTAAGTTGAAGCCATTGCTCATTTGCCATTCTGAAAATCCTAGATCCCTTATGAATTATGCTAAATCTATTATGCCTGTGTTCTATAAATGGAACAATAAAGCCTGGATGACAGCACAACTGTTTATAGCATGGTTTACTGAGTATCTTAAGCCCACTTTTGGAGACATAGTGTTCAGAAAACAAAATTCCTTTCAAATTATGTCTGCTAATTGCCAATGCAACCTGGTCAACCTAGACCTCTGATGGAGTTGTATGAGGAGACTTATGTTGTCTTCATACCTACTAACACAACATTCATTCTGAAGAACTGAGTAGTAATTTTAACTTTCAATCTAATTATTTAAGAAATACTTTTCCTAAGGCTAAAGTTGCCATAGACAGTGATTCCTCTGATGGACTGGGACAAAATCGTGTGGAAAGGATTCACCATTCTGGATGCCATTCAGAACATTCATGATTCATGGGGGAGGTCAAAATATCAACATGAACAGAAATTTGGAAGTTGATTTCAACCATCATACATGACTTTTAAGGGTTCAAGTCTTCAGTAGAGAAAGTAACTACAGATGTGGATTTGCAAGAGAATTAGAATTTTAAGTGGAGCCTGAAGAAGTGACTGAATTGCTGCAATCTTATGATAAAATTTTAATGAATGAGGAGTTTGTTTGTTTTTTTTCTTTCTTTTGAGACGGAGTCTCACACTTTCGCCCAGGCTGGAGTGCAGTGGTGCGATCTCACCTCCCTGCAAGCTCCGACTCCCAGGTTCACGCTATTCTTCTACCTCAGCCTCCTGCGTAGCTGGGACTACAGGCACCCACCACCACACCTGGCTAATTTTTTGTATTTTTAGTAGAGACGGGGTTTCACCATGTTAGCCAGGATGGTCTCGATCTCCTGATCTTGTAATCCGCCTGCCTCAGCCTCCCAAAGTGCTGGGATTACAGGCGTGAGCACTGTGTCTGGCCAGGAGCTGGTTTTTATGAAGGAATAAATAAGAGGTTTTAAGTTTCCATCTCAGGAAACTATTCTTGGTGAATATACTTTGAACATTGTTGAAATGACAACAAAGGATTTCAAATATTGCATAAACTGATTTGATAAAGCAGTGAAAGATTTCCAGAGGATTGACTCCAATTTTGAAAATCCTACTACGGGTAAAATGATATCAAACAGCATCACATTCTACAGAGAAATCTTTTGTGAAAGAAAGAAAGAATCAATGTGGCAAACTTCATTTTATTCTTATTTTAAAAAATTGCCTCAGCCCCCCAACCTTCAGCAACCAGAACTCTGATCAGTTAGCAGCCATCAACATCAAGATAAAATCCTACACCAGCAAAAATATTATGACTGGCTGAATGCACAATCATTCACAATTTATAGCAATAAAGAATTTTTTAAATTAAGATATGTGCATTTTGTAGACATAATGCTATTGTTGATTTGATAGACTATAGTATAGTATAAACACAATGTTTATATTCACTGGGAAACCAAAAAATTCATGTAATTCACTTTATTGTAATATTTGCTTTATAGCTATATTTTGGAATTCAATCCAGAATATCTTTGAGGTCTGACCCTATTCTTTTATTTTAAATAATTAACAAAAAGATCCAAAATGAATTTCCCCTTCTTCCTTGTTATCTTATAGAAAGTTGCTAGACTATGATTTGTGAAAATTATATCCTCAGATTTTTTCCTTGGATTATATTTCCAGATTCACCTTGTAAAAATTCAAACAATTCTAGGAGACAATCATACACAAATAAGTTTGAATGACACCTTGATTGAGGAGTAGATACCTTAACAAAGAGAATAAAGGGTTTCTTTATTCTCTTTATTAGTGAGAATAGTGAGAAAGAAATGATCTGCTGATCCACAACTGAAATTTCTTCAGATAGCAGCAACTTGCCTACCTAGAGTAGAGTTTCTCAGTCTTGACACTTGACAGAAATTTCTTCATTGTGGGCATTTGTTCTGTGCATTGTAGAATCTTTAGCAGCATTTCTGGCTTCTGTCCAGTAGATGCCATTAGCACCCCTCTAGTCATCACCATCAAAAATATTTTTCTATTTTGGCAAATATAGGAGGGCAAAGCTGCCTCTAGCTGAGAACCACTGACAAGAAGAAGAATGGAGTAATAATCATATTTAGTACTTCACAAATATCATTTTATGCAATACTTACAACAAACCAAAGAATTGTCTTTTTTTTTCTGGACTAAGGCCCAGAGAAGTTAATTTTTAAATTGAAGATTACAGACTTAACAAGTGGCAAACCTCAGAACTCAACATTATAATTTATACTGGAAAATTCTACAGAGTTGAATAGAACGTAAGAGGTGACAAATAAACATTGTGTCCACCTAACAATTTTGCTGAGGGCCAGCACCGGTCAGCTTTCTTTTTGTTAACATCAATTTTACAAGGCTTTGCTTACTCGAGATGTTGGTCTATGTATAGAATTTTAAAAGCGATTTAATTTTATTTTCTACTTTGTACTCAGAGCTTGGATTGTAGTTGTTAGACTATGATTTGTGAAAGTGCTTGGAAGCCAGGAAAAAGGCAGAGTTTTGCTATTACAATGATAGATTTGATGGCATTTCAAAGTAAATATTGCCTATAAAGAGAGTAAGAGTATACAAAACCTGGGAGATCAGCTATAAACTGTCAGCATTTTTCACCTTTTCTCTTGAAACTTATCTATGAAATGTTAACTTCTGAAAATTGCAGTTGAAGACTAAGGTAGAAGTTGAAAATGAGAGGAAAAGTGATTAGTTTATTTATCCTATTCATTTATTCATTCGGTCAACAAGTATGTAATTTCCATGAGGGTAAGGACTTGATTTCATTCCTGTTATGACTGCCATTTCGCCTGAACC